>NW_025791803.1:179513-359027 GCF_000001405.40 Homo sapiens
GATTTAAAAAATATCTCCTAGCCTCATTCTTCAAGCCTGGTGTGTAATTTTTATAAGGCCTTATAGTAGTTGAAAATGAGTACTCTTTTATGGTGACGAATTCTTTATGGTGAGTGAGAAATAATGCTTATTCTTCCAATTTTAGTATATGTGGTGCTGAATCGAGCACAATAATGCTTATTCTTTGCTTCGGAATTTTTTAATTTATTATTATTGTTATTTTAAATTTTTATTTATTTATTTATTTTGAGATGGAGTCTCACTCTGTCGCCCAGGCTGGAGTGCAGTGGCGCGATCTCAGCTCACTGCAACGTCTGCCTCCTGGGTTCAAGCGATTCTCCTGCCTCAGCCTCCCAAGTAGCTGGGACTACAGGCGCATGCCACCACGCCCAGCTAATTTTGTATTTTTAGTAGAGACAGGGTTTCACCGTGCTAGCCAGGATGGGTCTGAATTTCTTGATGTCGTGATCCACCTGCCTTGACTTCCCAAAGTGCTGGGATTACAGGCATGAGCCACCGTGCCCGGCCCGGAATTCATCCTTTAGAAAGATTTCTTCCAGCTGTTCCTCAGTTCTCTGCACTCCCTTACACTTTCCACCTTATCTGTCTGGGAACTAATTTAGTCTTTATGTTGGCTGCTTTCTTTTCACTTTTCAGGCTAAGATTTCCTTTCTCTTGGAAATCAGACGTTTACTTGGTCCTGCAGCTCTCTCTCTGTGGACCAGTCTTTTTTGTTGTTGTTGTTGCCAGATACTCACCGCCTCTACTGTTTATCCACCCATTTCCTTTATAACTCTGAAAAGTAGCTCCTGCCTCTGCTTGATTGCTGTTTTCTTGAAAGTGATTACTTCTGGCAAAACATAGTGGTCATTGCTTAGTTGTAATGCCACTGTGATGTTCCACTCCCCCCGGAAACCAATCTCTTCCAGTTCCCAAGACACAATACTTTTCTACTGAATTGGAGTTCCTTAGCGGGGGTCTTAGTTTTGTTCTGCTATTCAGTGCCTTTGTCCCTATCCTAGCCATTAGCTTTCCTATAGATCCTTGATTTCCTCATCTGTTGAAAAAGAAATGGCTAGAAAATCTTTTAGATTCTTTCAAGTTTAAATATTCGATGATTTTAATATTCTAACAGCATGTCTCTGTGACCCAGCAGTCTATTGGGAGCTGACCCCACTTGATTTACCAAACTCTTTCCCATTATGCCTCTGCATGCACCTATGTTCCAGGCAGGTCACCTCAGTCTCTTCTGTGTGTATCATGCTTCTTCCCACTTCTTGGCCTTTATTTCTGCCAGTCTCTGCCTGAATGCTTTAATTCCTCCTTTGTGCTTTTCTAATTCCTGTCCATCCTTCAATGTTCAGCTCAGATTTCATTTTTTTTTTTTCCCCATGAGGTTGTTTCAGACTAAACTCTGCTATCTCACTTCTTGGTATCCTTGTTACCTGGAGTTTTACAGAACCACACAGTAAGTTTTCTTCCTTTAGGAGGATTGTTTGAACACAGCTTGGCTTTGTTTTCTTTTTTTCTTGTCTTTTTATCAAATGGAGTGCATACTTTCTGAAAAGCAAAGAACGCTATTTGAATTCTCTTCTAGTCACCCCAGTGCCCAGCACAGTCTTAAACACACAGAACATTGATGGAATGTTTTTCATATGATTCCTGGTTGAAGGGTAGACTGGCTAAATAAAAAAAGTGGTACTTTTGGCTTTGTTTTACTGAATTTTACTTCCATGTTTGCAATAGCCTAGGTCTGATAAGTGATATTTTAACTAGGAATGAGTAAGAAAATTAGCATAAAGAAGGAATTTATACATATTTATATTTCCTCCCATAGAGCAAACATGTTTTTTGAATCAGGTTTCAGATCTGATCAACTACTTTTGTAATTTTGGATTTGTCACTTACTGTTAGGATATTTTGCAATGGTGTGATAGAATATGAATGTGAAGCACTTTGAAAAGTCTAAAATTTTTCTAATATAAGATTTATATGTTTTCTTTATAGCTTATTATTATTATTATTTTTTGTGTGTGTGACAGAGTCTTGCTCTGTCACTCAGGCTAGAGTGCAGTGTAGCTTATTACTGATTATTGTGTTTTCATTAAATAAGGGAGAGTAGGCCAGGTGCGGTAGCTGATGCTTGTAATCCCAGCACTTTGGGAGGCCCATGTGGGAGGACTGCTTGAGGCCTTGAATTCAAGACCAGGCTGTGCAACATAGTGAGATGCTGTCTCTAAAAAAAATTAGTTGGGTGTGGTGGCATGTGCCTGTAGTCGCAGCTACTCAGGAGGCTGAGGCAGGAAGATCACTTGAACCCAGGAGTTCAAGCATACAGTGAGCCATGATTGTGCCACTGTACTCCAGCTTCGGTGACAGAGTGAGACCCTGTCTTCCAAAAAAAAAAAAAGAGAGCGTGACTAGTCTCTGGATATTCCTTTGTATGTACCTTGGCCAATATATACCTTACTTTAGTATCCATTGACAAGTTCTCTTTTTTCTTCTTCTTCATTTTTTTTTTTTTGAGATAGAGTCTCGCTCTATTGCCCAGGTTGGAGTGCAGTGGCACGATCTCAGCTCACTGCAAGCTCCACCTTCTGGGTTCAAGCGATTCTCCTGCCTCAGCCTCCCAAGTAGCTGGCATTACAGGCACGTACTACCACACCTGGCTAATTTTTGTATTTTTAAAAGAGACAAGGGTTCGCCATGTTAGCTGGTCTCAAACTACTGACCTCAAACAATCCACCTGCCTCAGCCTCCCAAAGTGCTGGGATTATAGGCATAAGCTGTGGTGCTGGTCTAATATTGTTACATTTTATTTTAAATGTTCCTGTTTTTTGCCCTACTCTTTTTATTTGACTTTTTAACCATTAGGAAATTAGATTCTTTTCTCAAATCTGCTTTATTATTATTATTATTTTGAGACAAGTTCTCGCTTTCTCGCCTAGGCTGGAGTGTAGTGGTACAATTTTGGCTCACTGCAACCTCTGCCTCCCGGGTTCAAGTGATTCTCCTGCCTCAGCCTCCCAAGTAGCTGGGATTACAGGCGTGTGCCACCACACCCAGCTAATTTTTTTGTATTTTTAGTAGAGGCAGGGTTTTACCATGTTGGCTAGGCTGGTCTTGAACTCCTGACCTGAGGTGATCCGCCCGCTTCAGCCTCCCAAAGTGCTGGGATCACAGGCTTGAACCACCGTGCCTGGCCCTATTTTTGTATTTTTACTATAGACGGGGTTTTGCCATGTTGGCCAGGCTGGCCTCAAACACCTGCCTCAGCCTCCCAAAGTGCTGGGATTACAGATGCAAGCCACTGCACCTGGCCTTAAGTCTGCTTTTAAAAAATGTTTTGGCTGGGTGCGGTGGCTCATGCCTATAATTCAAGCTTTTTGGGGGGCTGAGGTGGGAGGATCACTTGGGCCTCAGAGTTTGAGACCAGCCTGGGCAACAGAGTGAGACCCCATCTCTACAAAAAGTAAAAAAAACAAATAAAAAAAAAATCAGCCAGTGTGCATTGGTTGAAAGTAAAGAAAAGAAAAAAAACAGACAAATTAGCCAAGTGTGGTAGTATATGCTACTTGGGAGGCTGAGTCAGGATTGCTTGAGCCCAGGAAATTAAGGCTGCAGTGAGGCATGATTGCACCACTGCACTCTGGCCTGGGTGAGACCCTGTCTCAAAAAAAATTTTTTTTTTTAATATGGAGAAAGTATTTTTGTTTTTCGTTTTTTATTTGGGTACCGGCCACTGCACCCAACCAAACATTTTGTCCTTAAACAAAAGTTTAAGTCATATAATACAGTAGTAAGAATGCCTTATTTTTTACATCTTTGTTCTTTAAATTACTCAGATTGCTATGGGGCATTTTTGTTGTAGCTTTCAAATTTGGTATTCTGGGGTTCTATGTAGACTCTATATTGTTGCATTCTAACGACATACTTTTAAGGATAAGCAGCGTATTAATTAAAAATGTGTTTTCCACTTGTGTTCCTTAGGTCTGCGTATATTTTGGAGGTGTGTGTGTATATAAGTCAAGGGACAGGAGGTATCGGAAGGCTCTAAAGGAAGTTTAAGGAGGAGAATATTCTATAGAAGTGGAAGGGGAGATTTGTGGTCAGCTTAAACTGTTAAAAGGCTTGGGATCAATACCGAAGCAGAATATGAGCATCTTAATCTGTTTCTTTGCAAAGGATTGACTTGTATTTATAAAAGCATTGGCTTGTTTCATCTGACATCTTTTAAAGTACCCCATTTTCTTGGGGGCGGGAAGGGAGAGATGAGACCATTTGTTTTGATCTTGAAGGACAGAAAAGTGGTTTTACGTTGTAGTGACTGTGAATTAAGTTTAAGGTCTCAGCAAGTTGTAAATTTCTGTATCATACTATGTGGTAGAGCCTTCAGTAAACAGAGTACTCTCAGGTGTTTAATGCTATAGGATATAAACTATAACTGCTGTTTATAGTACCCTCGCTAAATTCTCTTAAAGGCAATCCATTTGACCACTTCAAATGTTATATGCCTGTGATATATAGTTATATTCTCTGCATATAACTGGTTTTTAAAAATTGTTTATTATTCATTTATTTTAGAAGTGAGGTCTCTCTTTGTTCCTCAGGCTGGAGTGCAGTGGTGTGATCATAGCTCACCATAGCCTCGAACTCCTGGGCTCAAGTGATCTCCCACCTCCCGAATATCTAGGACTATGGGCGTGCGCCACCATACCTGGCTATTATTTTAATTTTTTTCGTAGAGACAGTGTCTTGTTATGTTGCCCAGGCTGGTCTCAAACTCTTGGCCTCAAGCAGTCTTCCCACCTGGCTTCCCAAAGCACTGGAATTACAGGCGTGAACTACTGTGCTGGGTCCTGAGTGGCTTTTGAGCCACTGACTATATCATCAAAAAGCTTCTGTTGAGACAAAGCCTCAAGCTAGTGTGGAGTTCATCCTACTAAAATGAAGAATTGGCATTATGTTCTAAAACTTTACATATTCTTACCATAAATGGTACTAATTACTTTGCAGTAGCAGTAACTTGAGGTGCAAACTTCCAGATTGCATATTTTCTTTAAACCATAGTCTGGCACTCACGGTTTGGCTTAGGGTTGCCACTGCAGTCCACAAGCTGTCGCCTGCCCTTATTCATATTTTATAGCTTTGAATGTCTTATTCCATTGAACTTCAGATAACTTTTTTTTTTTGAGATGGAGTTTTGCTCTTGTTGCCCAGGCTGGAGTGCAATGTTGTGATCTGGGCTCACTGCAACCTCTGCCTCCCAGGCTCAAGCGATTTTCCTGCCTCAGCCTCCCAAGTAGCTGGGATGACAGGCATGCGCCACCATGCCCAGCTGATTTTGTTTTTTTAGTAGAGACAGGGTTTCACCATGTTGGTCAGGCTAGTCTTGAACTCCCAACCTCAGGTGATCCTCCTGCCTTGGCCTCCCAAAGTGCTGGGATTACAGGCATGAGCCACCGTGCCCGGCTGAGAACTTAACTTTTTCTGATGAAATTCTTTCCTGCTCCACCTAACTCCCGTGTCCCACCCCCACCAGCAGAGTGGTATATCTAGCACAAGAGGCATGAAATTAATTTAGTAAATAGCAGGACTACTAGAAACTTTTAAGGATTATTTAACTTATTTTTAATCAAAATTTTATACTCAGATAATGACCTTTTGGGAAGTTATGTCTCTTAATGATCTCAAGTGGTGACACTTTTCTGTTGACACGGTTTCTCTTGGGTAGTTCTCATAGTAGTTTGGGCATGAGAAAACAACTTTTACCACTTTAGACTTGTGAGGGCAGCCTACTATGTAGTAAAAGAAAAAGCTTTTGATTGTGCAACTTGCAGTGTGGTCTTGGGGAAGTCTCTTAACCTCTCTGAACATCAGTTTTCTATATTTTCATGTGTAAAATGGGCATGATACTTACCCTTCTCACATCATGGGCTTGTTTAATGACTTAGGTATGAATCTTATATGAAAGGAAGCTGTAAACAGTCATAAAAATGTATTAGCATCTGTGCAGTATTTTTTTTCTATCCATTCTTTATAATTTGGTGGTTATTATTTCTACTCTACATGAGAAAAAAGTTACAGAGGCAAAACATGTTCACAATCATATGATTATATAATTAACTGAGTTAAACTAGAGTATGGATGTCTTGACCCTTAGATCACTATCTTTCCAATAAATAGTTTTAAAAGTCTAAATTTTACTAACAGGTAGTACAAATATGCAAAATGAGGGATGTATGATTGCTTCTTCACTCGAAGATGGTATATTATGTTTTTCCTTTTAAGTTCATGTTAGAGTATCTGAATCTTTTCAAGTTGGTTAGATGTTAGAAATAGATGTAAATTTTAAGCATTATATATCCTTGATTTCATTATGTATTATTCTCCTGGTCACTTTATCAAAACTTCTTCAGCTGTTAGAAGTTGTAACATTGTTTCCCTTTTATTTAGTTATATAATACACTTATTGTACATTCTTAAGTGGGAGAATAGAATTTGTGAGAATACCAACAGAAATACACATACAGCTATAAATATGAGATTATGATTCTTTCATGTTGGCATTGCACAGTCTATTTTTGTAAAGTTGGTTTTTATATTCTAAGAACATTTTACTTAGAGTTTGATTACATTTGAGGCAAACTTTTCAACTTTGGTAGTATTTGAATGAAGATTCCTGGATGTGGTTTTTTTAATTGTTACATCTACTTTTTCAGTTTTTCTTTTTCCCTATAACAACCCTCAAATCCTTCATCTTGTCTTTTGGAGTATTTTTTTCTATCCTCCTGTCTTTATCGGTGCCTTCTATTCCTGTCCCACCTTGGGTCTGGGAAAATGTGCCTTTATGCTCCATGTGAGTCTTCTTCCTTTTGGGTAATGAGTGCGGAGGGAAAAAAAGCACAGTATTTCTTTCCCTGTTATGTTTCAGTTTTTGGCCTCTGATAAGTGAATCTGGAGTAGGGAATGACAGTGATAGTAGGTTTTGTTTTAGTCATATATTGGCGACAAAGATCAACGAAGACCTGAAGCTCTTGTTCCTCTCATGACACAAACTACCCACAGGTGCATGCCACCATGCCGGGCTAGTTTTTAAATTTTTTGTAGAGACGAGGTTTCGCCATCTTGCCCAGGCTGGTCTTGAATTCCTGGACTCAAGCGATCTTCCCACTTCGGCCTCCCAGAGTGCTGGGATTACAGGCATGAGCCACCGTGCCCAACCGAGATTCTGTCTCTGAAAAAATAAATAAATAAATAAAATAAATACATAAAAATAAAATAAAAACATTTGAAGACATCTTAAGTACACCCTAGATTCCCACCCCCACCAAAAAATTTCATTCATTCTTCAACCATTTCTCAAAGAACATGTTTTCAAGACACCTCACTATCCTAATTGTTTTCCTTTTGGTGCAATGGTGGTCAGTACTCAGGCATACCATTTTTTATCTTTCCTCCCAATGTTGTATGAGGGCATTATATGAAACTTAAATGGATTTAAAAATGCTGAGCTTGCTGGACATGGTGGCTCACACCTGTAATCCCAGCACTTTGGGAGGTGGGGGAGGGAGGATTGCTTGAGCCCAGGAGTTTGAGATCAACCTGGACAACACAGCTAGTATGCACAAAAAAATAAAAAAAGTAGCTAGGCGTGGTGGTGCATGCCTGTAGTCCCAGGTACTTGGGAGGCTGAGGTGGGAGGATGGCTTGAGCCCAGGAGGTTGAGCCTGCAGTGAGTGGTGTTTGTGCTACTACACTCCAGCATGGGTGACAGAGTGAAACTCTGTTAAAAAAAAAAAAATGCTGAGCTTCAGGTACAGTATATTTTTGGTATGCATTTGATTACCAGTACAGTATACCTATCAAAAATGTTAATTCACATGTTTTAAAATAAAAAGTTTCCAACATAAAAGTAGAGAGTTTTTTTTTTTTTTTTTTTTTTTTTTTTCTGAGACAGAGTCTCACTCTATTACCCAGGCTGGAGTGTAATGGCACGATCTTGGCTCACTGCAACCTCTGCCTCCCAGGCTCAAGCCATCCTCTCTCTCAGCCTCCCGAGTAGCTGAGATCACAGGTGCACACCACCACGCCTGGCTAAATTTTTTGTATTTTTTGTAGAGACAGGGTTTTGTCATATTGTGCAGGTTGGTCTCGAACTCCTGACCTCAAGTGATCCACCCGCCTCAGTCTCCCAAAGTGCTGGGATTACAGGCGTGAGCCACTGCACATGGCCTAGAGAGATGTTATAAATTAATCCTTTTGTATCCATTACTCAATTTCTCCCTAGTCTTATTTCATCCGTATTCCTACCCATTTCCTGCTCACTACCTCTTTATTATTTTAAAGCAATCCTATATATCATTTCAGCGTGATTTATTCTTATACTGACTTTAAGAGCTGTGTAATATAAAAACAACTCAATTAGGAATCAGAAGACTTGACTTTAAGTCTTAACTTTCTACTGGAATGAGTTAACAGGGGGGCAAGCCAAGCTGTATGAGCCCTGAATTCCTAATATGTTGAAGAGAGTAACACGTGGTGGAGGGGACATAATGTTACCTGCACTTTTTCACAGGGATCTATGAGAATCAAAGATAGGAGGTAATATGCATGAAAGTATTTTGTCTACTCTAAACTCAAAAGCAAAAGTGCTTTACAAAGGTAAGATTTTATTAGTAAATGCTGCTTCCCTGTATAAGTGCTAACAACTCATGCCTAATCAGTCTTAGAATTATCTGGATGCTGACATTAAATTAAGTCCATAGTATTAAAATCACCCTTTCACCTTTACCCACTCTTGGATTTTGACAATTGCAACAACATTTTCTCATTCCCAATCTGGCTCCTGTTACTTTTCATGACTTCTGCAAGTTCACTGACCACATTTCTCTTACCATATTTCTAAATTTTCATCTGTATCTTGGATTCATGTACACTTGAGCTCAGGTAAAACAGGGAGGTGGGCTCTTCATGCTTTATGTATCTAAGTTCTGATGACTCTCAGCAATGCTTTTTTTCAGATTTGAAGATCATTTTCTTTTTTTTCTTTTTCTTTTTTTTTTCTTTTTTGAGTCACTGTCACCCAGGCTGGAGTGCAATGGCGCGATCTCGGCTCACTGCAACCTCCGCCTCCCAGGTTCAAACGATTCTTGTGTCTCAGTCTTTCGAGTAGCTGGGATTACAGGCACCTGTCACGATGCCCGGCTAATTTTTGTATTTTTAATAGAGAAGGTGTTTCACTGTGTTGTCCAGGCTGGTCTCGAGCTCGTAACCTCAGGTGATCCTCTTGCCTCGGCCTCCCAAAGTGCTAGGATTACAGGCGTGAGCCACCATGCCTTGGCCTCATTTTATTTTCAACTAGAACAATTAGAAATAAAAATTGAGTTGAATAGTTCTGCTTTTAATGACCTATTGGTGCTGGAATCATGGACTCTAGTGATTCTTGTTCTTCTTTCCTCATCTTTTTGATCCTAATGTATTTTAAAAGCCTTTACATATTTTTGTCTTTAACATTTCTAGTTATTCTGAACTTTTGTTTTAACTCTTCTGTTAATTTATCCATTGTGTGTAGTGTGTATTTTTTCTTAAATGTCCTTATAAATACTGAGCTGTGGGGGAGGGGAGAGGAGGAGCAACTGGTGCAGGCACGCTAGTTTCTTTAGAAATGTCAGCTCTGCCAGATCACTTAAGACTTGTTAAAAGTACAGATTTCCTGGCTCTACTAAACATCGTGTGATTTCTAGAGGTCCCAGGTCATTTTTGACATAAAGCTGGGTTTGTAAACCACTGCTGTGTGATATACAGGGAGAATTTAATTTCTGGGTGGTATTTAATAGGTCACAGTACAGTCATATATATCACTGCAACAAGTTAGAAAACCACAATTGGATGAACTTTAAAAATCAATACTAAAAAAAATATTGGAGAGCTATGGATGTAATGAGGACTAGATGAATTAGAATTCCAGAAATAGAAGAGATCTTTATAGGTGAGCAGAGGATTGCTGACATTTGCTGATTCTGGACACACACTGAAGGAAAAGGAAACTAGAGAGGAAGTGCATTTTACTAAAACTGCAACATATCCCTGGCCCAGTTCAATTCCTGATTGGACTGAGGTGATCAGCCTATCTTATCCCTTTTGCCTAATAGAGGAAATAGACAGCTCTTACTGAGGAGATATATTCTGGGGTTTCTATGGTTCTTTCGTTTATAATACTATCATACTATTAACTATTCTAGAGATGTGAAAGGGTGGAAAAATTCAAGAGAAAAATAAAACTTATAGAAGCAGACTCAGAAAATTGAAGTTCATCAGACAAAGACTTATTTTAAAATAACTATAATATACTTAAGAAAATAAAGGAAAATACGGAGAAAATGGATGAAAATTTTCATAGAGAATTGGAATCCACAGAAAGAAACCAAATGAACATTCTAGGAATCAAAAACACAACGTTGGTTGCTTAAGGTCTTTATTTGTAGTTTAATTAGAAACTTTGGCGCAGGACTCTAGGACACTCCACCTCCCCCTCATTCTTTACTGTTCTTAAAAAACAAAAACAAAAACAAAAAAAACCCAGGTAAATTTAATGTATACTATTTAAGTTCCACGAGAGCAGGGCCTATGTCTGTTTTGTTCGTTGTTGTACTCCCAGGGCTTAGTATAGTGCATGCCACATTAAAAAACAAAACAAGACAGAACAAAATCTTCCTTAACACCACCATCACAAACCCCCCCATTAATAATTAATTGACATTAATCTGAAATTAATTATTCATTGTACCGGTTCAGTAGCAGACTATACACAGCAGAAGGCAAGACTAGAGAGCTTGTGGACAGATCAATAGAAAATATCTAGATAAAAGCACAGAAAAAAAAAAAAGAATGGAAAGAGTAGAACAGAGCCTCTGAGACATGTGGAACATTAGTAAAAAGTCTAATGTGTAATTGGAGACCCAAAAGTAGAGAGATTAGCATGGAAGCAAATACTTGAAGAGGTAATGATAAAATATTTTCCCAAACTGATGAAAGGCATCAACCTATAAATTCAAGTAGTTTAGCAAACCCCAAGCAGGATGAACACAAAGAAAACTACACTTAGCATATCTTAATGGAACTGTTGAAAACCAGAAACAAAGAGAAACGCTTAAAAGCAGCCAGAAGAGGGGAAAAAAGGCACTGTGTTCAAAGGAACGATATAATACAACTGATGGCTGACTTTTTAATACAACTGTGGAAACTGGGAAATAACAGACATTTTTTAAATGTTGGCAAAAAAACCTGCCAAGCTAGAATTCTACCTTCAGCAGAAATATCCTTCAGACAAGAAGGCGAAATAAAGACATTTTTAGACAATCAAAAGCTGACAATTTATGACCAGCAGACCTGCACTGTAAGATTACTGAAGGAAGTTTTTTAGGCAGAATGAAAATATCTCAAATGGAAGTACAAAACTGTAGGAAATAATGAAGAGCACACACTCGGGTAAGTGTGTGAGTAAATAGACAAGACCTATTGCCTCTTGTTTTTATTGCTGTTTTTAGGAACTTTATTGCTTTTTGCTATTCTAGAATAATAGAATTTCCACAGCTTTTAGGTTAAGGTAAAATTGCCATCCAATCAATAAACTGCACATATTTAAAATGTATAATTTGATGAGTTTTGATATACATATAAGCCTTTGATACCATCACCACAATCAAGATGAAGAACATATATTACCGGCAAAAGTTTTCTCCAGCCTCCTTATAATCCATTCCTACCTCCATCCCATCCCTAGGGAACCCTTGAGCTGTTTTTGTCTCAGTGGATATATCATAAGTTGTTTATCCATTCACTTGTTGATGGATAACTGAAGACAACTCAAATTTTCACCATTACAAATAAAGTTGTCTTGAAGATTCATATACATGACTGTCATTTCTCTTGAGTAAATACAAAGGAGTAGAAATGGGTGGATCATATGGTGGATGTATATAATAATGTTACAGGATATTATATTCTGTAATATTTTAAGAGGCCACCAAGCTGTTCCTAAAGTGATTGTATCATCTTACAGCAGTATATGAGAGTTTCAGTTGTTCCACATCTTTGCCAACACTTATTTAACCTTTTCTTTTAAATTACAGCCATCCTAGTGGGTATGAAGTGGTGTCTCATTGTGGTTTTGATTTGCATTTCCCTAATGACTCATGATATTGAGCATCTTTTCATGTGCTTATTTACCATCTGAATATTTTCTTTGGTGAGCTGTTTATCTCTTTTGCCCATTTTTAAAAAATTGGGTTTTACTGGAGTTTTCAGAATTCATAATATATGCTGAATACAAGTTCATCAGATAAATGATTTGCAAGTCTTCTAGTTTTTCCTTGTTTTTTTGTTCTCAAAGTCTTTCAAAAGCAGATGTTCTTAATTTTTCTGAAGTCCACCTTATCAATTAAAAAATAGATCATGTTATTGGTATATCTAAGGTATCTTTTTCTAATATAAGGTCACAAATTTTTCTCCTCTGTTTTCTGTAGAAATTTAGGATTTATACTAACGTTTGTGGCTCATTTTTAGTTAATTTTTGTATTTGTGCTATGTGCCTGTTATGCCAATACCACATAGTCTTAACTATAAAAGAGCTTAACTATATAAACTATAATAAAATATCAAGTCAGGTAGTATAAGTCCTCCAGCTTTCTTGTTTCTCAGAATTGTTTTGACTAGTCTAGGTCTTTTGTTATCCTTGTATGGTTTCGGATTGGCTTGTCAATTTCTATTAAAAAGCCAGTTTTGATAGAGATTCTGCTGAGTCCATGGATCAACTTTGGGAAGATTGCCATCTTAACAGGTATTGTTTTTTAGTTTCAATTTTTGATTGTTGCTAATATATAGAAATACATGGATGTTTATTGATCTTGTTTGTTTTTATTTAGGCCATAGATTTTTTTCTTTTTCTTTTTAAAGACAGGGTCTTGCTCTGTCCCCTAGGCTTCATAGCTCACTTCAGCCTTGAACTCCTGAGCTGAAGTGATTCTCCCAAGAAGCTAGGACTACAGGTACATGCCACCACGCTCGGCTCATTTTCTTATTTTATAGAGACAGGATCTTGCTGTGTTTCCCAGGCTGGTCTCGAGCACCTGGCCTCAAGCTGTCCTCTCGCCTCGGCTTCCCAAAGTGCATGAGTCACTGAACTTGGCCAGGCCGTAAATTGTTTTGAGACAGGGTCTTGCTCTGTTGCACAGGCTAGAGTGCAGTGGTGCAATCATGGCTTACTGCAGCCTTGACCTCCTGGGCTCAAGTGATCCTTCCACCTCAGCTTCCTCAGTAGCTGGGACTGTAAACACTCACCACGATGCCTGGCTAATTTTTGTAGAGACAGGGTTTCACCATGTTGGCCAGGCTGGTCTCAAACTCCTGACCTTAGGTGATCCATCTGCCTCGGCCTCCCAAAGTGTTTGACCACTCAGCCTTTATACAGATATTTCATCTTCTTTACAAGAAGAAAAACACTCTAAGCTCTTGCCTAAAAAGATGAAAATGTTCTTTGTAAAAATGAGGATGTCCTTACCCTCTTCCCAAAATGAGGAGCAGAGTCTCATAATTGTATTGATTTCTGGGGGACATTCACACTATCTATTTCTAGGCTGTGTTAATTATGCCTCAAATTCATAGTTCCTTCTGAATATCCTGTTACCTAGGGACTAAATTGTAAAGTTAACCTTTAATAAAGTTTGAATAACATAGAGAAGAAGAGGGAAGGAATTGATTTATAAACTTGCCCGTTTCCCTGTAATAAGGAAGAAAATATGTATAGCTGCTGTAGACCTTGCTTCTGTAACTGGTTGAGAGATTGTAGTTCATATTTATAACTACTTCTGCTGTACATTCCATGTTTCCTTTGTTCTCATTCAAGATCTCAGCTGGTGGGGTAACCTAAATCTTCATTAATAAAGAATATGGCTTTGGGAGGCTGAGGCGGGTGGATCACGAGGTCAGGAGATCGAGACCATCCTGGCTAGCACAGTGAAACCCCGTTTCTACTAAAAATATAAAAAATTAGCTGGGCGTGGTGGCGGGTACCTGTAGTCCCAGCTACTCAGGAGGCTGAGGCAGGAGAATCGCTTCAACCCAGGAGGCAGACGTGGCAGTGAGCTGAGATCACACCACTGCACTCCAGCCTGGGTGACAGAGTGAGACTGTCTCACAAAAAAGAATAAAAAAAAAAAAGAAAAAAAGACCATGGGCCGGACATGGTGGCTCACGCCTGTAATCCCAGCACTCTGGAAGCTGAGGTGGGCAGGTCACAAGGTCAGGAGTTTGAGACCAGCCTGGCCAACATAGTAAAACCCTGTCTCTACTAAGAATACAAATATTAGCTGGGCGTGGTGGCAGGCGCCTGTAATCCCAGCTACTTGGGAGGCTGAGGCACAAGAATCACTTGAACCCGGGAGGTGGAAGTTGCAGTGAGCCAAGATCACACCACTGCACTCCAGCCTGGGCGACAGAGCAAGACTCTGTCTCAAAAAAAGAAAAAAAAGAATACAAATCTTTGGTGGTCCTGCTTCATGTGTGTGCATGCCTGTGGCTGTGGTTTTCCATTAAGTTTTGCTCTTATATATATAGGTTTAGAAAAACATTTCAGGGAATCCTCAGGGTTCCAGACATAGTCCTCTTTGTCCCCATTATGTAGCAACAGTACAGTATCACCTAGTAATAGGACTGAATTACATCAGCTAATAGAATAACCCCCTTCTTTGACTGTTGATGTAGTGCGGTGGTTCTTAGGACAGTTTTACCTCCCAGGGGACATTTGGCAATGCCTGGAGACATTTTTAATTGTTATGACTTTCGTGGGGGTGGGGGAATGCTACTGGCATCTAGTGGGTAGAGTTCAGGGATGCTGTCAGGCATCCTGAAATGCACAGGACAGCCCCCAAGAGTAGAGACTGATCCAGTCCAAACTGTCAGTAGTGCTAAGATTGAGAAATTCTGATTTAGTGGTATGGAGGCAGTGGTCATGAGGTAGTTGTTACTTCCAGTTCAGTGGAACTGTGTGGAATCATTCCCTGCTTGGGAACCAAGGCCTCCAATCCAGCAGATATCAAAGTCGTAGGTACTTGAAACAAAACTTCTGCTAATGGAATTTTTAGGAATAATAGAGGAACTACTTCTACTTGTGCCCCTTGATTCTCAGGCCTTTGTATTCTAGCTATGGGGAAAACAATATTGTATATTGCTCATTGATCCACTGTAACTGAGTGAGTCTTCAGTAGTCCATTCTGTTAGACCAGCTGCTTCTGGGTGATGGAGTATGTGGTAAGACCAGTGATTTCCAAGTTCCATAACCCATTCCTGCATAACCCTTTTTCTGTGAAATGAGTACCTTGATCAAAGTCTTGTTGAGTAGTATACCTTGATGATGAACAAGGTGTCGCCCATGTCCTTGATGGTGATGCTGGCAGAAGCACTGTAGGCAGGGAATGCATATTCATATTCAGAATATGTTGGTGCCAGTGAGGACAAATTCTTGTCCCCTCCATGTATGTAGAGTTTTTGTTTTGTTTTCTTTTTTTAAGGTATGGTATTATCCACTGTCATTAATATTTTGGAGCATTTTACTTCCACATTAAAAAAGATCAAAATAGGTAATAATTATCTGACCAAGAAATGTTTTAAATAAATTGTAGACTTATGACAGCTATATCATCTATCTAAAAACCTTGGAGTAACTGTAAAATAGTGACTTTTGAACTGTAGACTTTACTCATGCAGATATCTCACTAATTTTGTTGAAATCTACCAGATAGAAATCCATTGTTATGGGTTGTATGGTTGAAAACTTTTTAGGCTGTCATTTGTTTCAAGATACAGATTGACTCGGTATACTTTAACATTTCTCATAGTTGGCCAAATTTAGGTAAAACTATTTAATTTCATTGAACGTTTTAGGGAAAATGCCTGAATATTAATAGAGATAGGATGAATTAAATTAAAGAACTTACCCTTTGAAAAATTGCCAGGGTTAGCAATTTTTATGCTAACCCTGCATAAAAATTGTGCGTGGTGGTGTGTGGAGTGGTGTATATGTTTCAGAGAAATAATATAAATGTTCAGATAAGAGTATCTGCGTAATCTAACTAGGACCTGTCTAACCTACCTGCTTAAGGATAGAGGAAATCTTGAGAGACTTGAAATTGAAGAACTTAAAATTTTAAGTCTTCCCTTTCAAGGCCCTATCAAAACATCATGACCACATCTTTGAAATAGTTACTTTTATCACTCAATATAGTTAGAAAATTTTATTTTTAGAACTCCAAAATCATTTTATTTTATTTTATTTATTTATTTTTTTCGAGACGGAGTCTTGCCCTGTCGCCCAGGCTGGAGTGCAGTGGCGCCATCTCCGCTCACTGCAAGCTCCGCATCTTGGTTTCACACCATTCTCCTGCCTCAGCCTCCCGAGTAGCTGGGACTACAGGTGCCCGCCCCCATGCCCAGCTAATTTTTTTGTATTTTTTTTTTTTTTAGTAGAGACAGGGTTTCGCTGTGTTAGCCAGGATGGTCTCGATCTCCTGACCTCGTGATTCACCTTCCTCGGCCTCCCAAAGTGCTAGGGTTACAGGCATGAGCCACTGTGCCTGGCTCATTTTATTTTTATTATTATTTTTTGAGATGGAGTCTCACTATTGCCCAGGCTGGAGTGCAGTGGTGCTATTTTGGCTCACTGCAACCTCTGCCTCCTGAGTTCAAGCAATTCTCCTGCCTCAGCCTTTGGAGTAGCTGGTACTACAGGCGTGCCGCCACGCCTGGCTAAATTTTTGTATTTTTAGTAGGGATGGGGTTTCACCATATTGGCCAGGCTGGTCTTGAACTCCTGACCTCAGTTGATCCTCCTGCCTCAGCCTCCCAGAGTGCTGGGATTATAGGTGTGAGCTACCGTGCCTGACCTCCAAAACCGTTTTTATTAATTATATTCTTTATTAAGTATATGTTTGATAAAGACAAGCATTTTTCCTTTTTTCACTGTTACATTCTTTCTGTTTAGAATAGTGATTTGCGGCCAGGCGCGGTGGCTCATGCCTGTAATCCCAGCACTTTGGGAGGCTGAGGCAGGTGGATCATGAGGTCAGGAGATCAAGACCATCCTGGCTAACAGGTGAAACCCTGTCTCTACTAAAAATACAAAAAAAATTAGCTGGGCGTGGTGGCGGGCTCCTGTAGTCCTAGCTACTCGGGAGGCTGAGACAGGAGAATGACGTGAACACGGGAGGCGGAGCTTGCAGTGAGCCAAGACTGCGCCTCTGCACTCCAGCCTGGGTGACAGAGCAAAACTCCATCTCAAAAAAAAAAAAAAAAAAAAAAAAAAAAAAAGGAATAGTGATTTGCACATAGAAGGGACTCAATAAATATTTGTTGAATGAATGAATATATGAAATAAAATCTTCCATGCTCTTGAAGAGAAGTATTTGTCATGTGACTGGTCTTATATGGCAGAATGTCCCTTGTTTACCATTCCTATTCCCTTCTAACCAAATCATGATATGTATTTTTAGGTATTCTTTGGCATTTCTTTTTGAACACCTGGAAAAATGCTAAAATATGGTTTAAAACTCAATGTTTGTGAATTAGGCTGTTAGGTGCAGCCTGACTTAAGGGATAAGGGCTGAATTATAGAGAAATTGAATTATGCTTTCAAATATGGTACGCATATGAAAGTAATACATGGTTGTTTTTTAAACTAGGTTAAATGTGGTAAATGCACTCTTTTAATTTAGTGTTTTATTAAATTTTGGTATATGTTGTGTTATAAGCATAAAAGTTTCTGAAAGAATTTTTGTGCCTAGAAATTGTGGGAATTGTTGCTTTCTTTAACTTTTGATTTGAAACAATCACAAATTACACTGGATTCTTAAAAATGTTGTAGGATCTTTAGGGAGCTCAACTGCAGTCCAGATGCTGATTTTTTTTTTTTTTAATACTTTAAGTTCTGGGATACACGTGCAGAATGTGCAGGTTTGTTACATAGCTATACTCGTGCCATGGTGGTTTGCTGCACCCATCAACCTGTCGTCTACCTTAGGTATTTCTCCTAATGCTATCCCTCCCCTAAACCCCCACCCCGCAACAGGCCCAGTGTGTGATGTTCCCCTCTGTGTGTCCATGTGTTTTCATTGCTCAACTCGTACTTATGAATGAGAACATGCAGTGTTTGATTTTCTGTTCCTGTGTTAGTTTGCTGAGAATGATGGTTTCCAGCTTCATCCATGTCCCTGCAAAGGACATGAACTCATCCTTTTTTATAGTTGCATGGTATTCCATGGTGTGTATATACCACATTTTCTTTATCCAGTCTATAATTGATGGGCATTTGGGTTGGTTGCAAGTCTTTGCTATTGTGAACAGTGCCGCAATAAACATAGGTGTACATGTGTATTTATAGTAGAATGATTTATAATCCTTTGGGTATATACCCAGTAATTGGATGGCTGAGTCAAATGGTATTTCTAGTTGTAGATCCTTGAGGAATCGCCACACTGTCTTCCACAATGGTTGAACTAATTTACACTCCCACCAACAGTGTAAAGGCATTTCTATGTCTCTCTCTCTTTTTTTTTTTTCTTGAGATGGAGTCTCACTGTGTTGCCAGGCTGGAGTGTGGAGTGTGGTGGCATGATCTTGGCTCACTGCAACCTCCGCCTGCCAGGTTCAAGTAATTCTCCTGCCTCAGCCTCTCCACTAGCTGGGATTACAGGTGTGTGCCACCACACCCAGCTAATTTTTTGTATCTTTAGTAGAGACAGCGTTTCACCATGTTGGGCAGGATGGTCTTGATCTCTTGACCTTGTAATCTGCCCGCCTCGGCCTCCCAAAGTGCTGGGATTACAGGTGTGAGCCACCGCGCCTGGCCTTAAGAGTTCCTGTTTCTCCACCTCCTCTCCAGCATCTGTTGT
This sequence comes from Homo sapiens, assembly GCF_000001405.40. Classification (NCBI taxonomy): domain Eukaryota; kingdom Metazoa; phylum Chordata; class Mammalia; order Primates; family Hominidae; genus Homo; species Homo sapiens. The sequence continues at coordinate 198,458 of NW_025791803.1, forward strand.
TTCCTGACTTTTTAATGATCGCCATTCTGACTGGTGTGAGATGGTATCTCATTGTGGTTTTGATTTGCATTTCTCTAATGACCAGTGATGATGAGCTTTTTTTCCTGTGTTTTTTGGCTGCATAAATATCTTCTTTTGAGAAGTGTCTGTTTATATCCTTCGTCCACTTTTTGATGGGTTTTTTTTTTTTCTTGTAAATTTAAGTTCTTTGTAGATTCTGGATATTAGCCCTTGGTCAGATGGAGAGATTGCAAAAATTTTCTCCCATTCTGTAGGTTGCCTATTCACTCATGATAGTTTCTTTTGCTGTGCAGAAGCTCTTTAATTTAATTAGATCCCATTTGTCAATTTTGGCTTTTGTTGTCATTGCTTTTGGTGTTTTAGTCATGAAGTCTTTCCCCATGCCTGTGTCCTGAATGGTATTGCCTAGGTTTTCTTCTAGGGTTTTTATGGTTTTAGGTCTTATGTTTAAGTCTTTAATCAATCTTGAGTTAATTTTTGTATAAGGTATAACAAAAGGGCCCAGTTTCAGTTTTCTGCATATGGCTAGCCAGTTTTGCCAACATCATTTATTAAATAGGGAATCCTTTCCCCATTGCTTGTTTTTGTCAGGTTTGTCAAAGATCAGATGGTTATAGATGTGTGGTGTTATTTCTGAGGTATCTGTTCTGTTCCATTGGTCTATGTATCTGTTTTGGTTTCAGTACCATGCTATTTTGTTTACTGTAGCCTTGTAGTATGGTTTGAAGTCAGGTAGTGTGATGCCTCCAGCTTTGTTCTTGTTGCTTAGGATTGTCTTGGCTCTACGGGCTCTTTTTTGGTTCCCTATGAAATTTAAAGTAGTTTTTTCTAATTCTGCAAGAAAGTCAATGGTAGCTTGATGGGGATAGTATTGAATCTATAAATTACTTTGTGTAGTACAGCCATTTTCATGATATCGATTCTTCCTATTCATGAGCATGGAATGTTTTTTCATTTGTTTGTATCCTCTTTTATTTCCTTGAGCAGTGATTTGTAGTTCTCCTTGAAGAGGTCCTTCACATCCCTTGTAAGGTGTATTCCTAAGTATTTTATTCTCTTTGTAGCAATTGTGAATGGGAATTCACTCATGATTTGGCTGTTTGTCTGTTATTGGTGTATAGGAATGCTTGTGATTTTTGCACATTGATTTTGTATCCTGAAACTTTGCTGAAGTTGCTTCTCAGCTAAAGGAGATTTTGGGCTGAGACGATAGGGTTTTCTAAATATACAGTCATGTCATCTGCAGACAGAGACAGTTTGACTTCATCTTTTCCTATTCAAATACCCTTTATTTTTTTCTCTTGCCTGATTGCCCTGGCCAGAACTTCCAATACTATGTTGTATAGGAGTGGTGAGAGAAGGCATCCTTGTCTTGTGCCGGTTTTCAAAGGGAATGCTTCCAGTTTTTGCCCATTCAGTATGAGTATACCTATGTAACAAACCTGCACATTCTGCACATGTATCCCAGAACTTAAAGTATTTAAAAAAAAAAAAAATCAGCATCTGGACTGCAGTTGAGCTCCCTAAAGATCCTACAACATTTTTAAGAATCCAGTGTAATTTGTGATTGTTTCAAATCAAAAGTTAAAGAAAGCAACAATTCCCACAACTTCTAGGCCCAAAAATTCTTTCAGAAACTTTTATGCTTATAACACAACATATACCAAAATTTAATAAAACACTAAATTAAAAGAGTGCATTTACCACATTTAACCTAGTTAAAAAAAAACACAACAACCATGTATTAGTTTCATATGCATACCATATTTGAAAGCGTAATTCAATTTCTCTATAATTCAGCCCTTATCCCTTAAGTCAGGCTGCACCTAACAGCCTAATTCACAAACATTGAGTTTTAAACCATATTTTAGCATTTTTCCAGGTGTTCAAAAAGAAATGCCAAAGAATACCTAAAAATACATACCATGATTTGGTTAGAAGGGAATAGGAATGGTAAACAAGGGACATTCTGCCATATAAGACCAGTTACGTGACAAATACTTCTCTTCAAGATCATGGAAGATTTTATTTCATATATTCATTCATTCAACAAATATTTATTGAGTCCCTTCTATGTGCAAATCACTATTCTTTTTTTTTTTTTTTTTTTTTTTGAGATGGAGTTTCGCTCTGTCACCCAGGCTGGAGTGCAGAGGCACAATCTTGGCTCACTGCAAGCTCCGCCTCCCGTGTTCACGCCATTCTCCTGTCTCAGCCTCCCGAGTAGCTGGGACTATAGGCACCCAGCTGTGGGTTTGTTATAAATAGCTCTTATTATTTTGAGATGCTCTCCATCAGTACCTAGTTTATTGAGAGTTTTTATCATGAAGGGGTGTTGAATTTTATCAAAGGCCTTTTCTTCATCTATTGAGATAATCGTGTGGTTTTTGTCATTGGTTCTGTTTATGTGATGGATTACATTTATTGATTTACATATGTTGAGCCAGCCTTGCATCCCAGTGATGAAGCTGACTTGATCATGGGGGATAAGCTTTTTGGTGTACTGCTGGATTCGGTTTGCCACAATTTTATTGAGGATTTTCACAGATGCTGAATTTTTTTCTGGGAAGAATTTACTTTGACTTTTTCATCCTACAAAAATTATTCTGGTTCTGAAGGATGCAGGTGTTTCAATGGTGTCCCATTAATATCCCCAGGCTTAGCACAGTTCTTGCTTGGTTATAATAGGCAATTAAGTGTTGAATGAATGAAAGAATTTTAACTTTATTCTGTGGGTTCAGGGAGCTGTTGAAGAGTATTAAGCAAGTGAGTGGCATGCTCACATGTTCTGAAGAGTGTTTCCTGGTAGTGATATAGAAGATGGATTTGAAGGGACAGTAAAGGCAAGAATAATAATTAAGAAATTGTTATAATAGGGATGATCTGAGCCAGGGTACTCATTATAGGAAATTAGGGGCAACCTTGTCATGAGATTTGTTTAGGAGATGAAATTGGAAGGCTTCAGATGGATGATAGGGGTAAGGAGGAAAGGAGGAGATTTAAGTGAATAAGAGTTGAGGAGAGGGAGGAGTTGTAAATGACAAGTTTCTTGTTTATTGTTTTGAATAAAGGGGAAAATTGTTTTCAGTTATTCATAAAGGACTTAAAAATGGGCTTTGATCCCAAAAGTTGTTTTGAAGTTATTTCCTGCTTTATCTTTGGAGACCCTTCTTCCCACCCCCACATCAAAGCAAATGCCCTCAACTGCTTTAGATGCAGTCTTGCATTGAAATAGGTATCACATTGTTTTATTTTGCTTGAATGGGTGCTGTTGGCTTAAACATCTAATTGCATCTGCTTTGTCTTCTTTAGTTGTGTCTACTTATGGGCCAAAAGAGCATTTCTACCTCTGTAATTTCATTTGCATATTGGTTTTCAGATAAATTGAAGATTAATTATATGAAGTATATGGTTTGTAATCTCAATTGAAGGTGAATTTTTTATTTTCCTGGTTGAATATAATGGAATCATTTTGGTATGGAGAAGAAATGGTTAAAAATAGACCAGTGGGTCATCTCAGTGTGAAAGTCAAGAGGACTTCTAGGCTTAAGCCTGGTAGCTAAATTTCTGTTGGCTCTACCCTCTTCATGATGAGTCCAAGTTTATTTTGATCTGCATCTTTCTTTTTTTTAATGAATGAAATTCTCCTTCATTCAGCCTGGTAAGTAACCTGGCCATTAGTACGTGACTAAATAGCTGAAGCTTCTGGCTTGAATTAAGTTATAAACTTAGCACAGTGGCAGGTGCTTGAACTGCCATGTTAAAACTAGCGCATAGAATCTTTGCCATTCAAAAACTGTTTTCTCAATCCCATGAAGGAGATGAAGCCTACATGGGAATCTTCACTGATTGTGCTGACTTTTCTTCTACAATTTTTAGTTTATAACATGTATAGTTTGTCAATTGTGCTAGGATATTTTGTTAATATGTTCTTAAAAATTCAAATCCCAGGGGTAAACATCAAATAATTTAATTGTGCCTATTTGACTTTATGGGAGAGTTAACAACCATATTTATATATATGGTTAAATGTGTATAATCTTCATTCTCAATCTTTCAGAATCCTTATTTTCCATTTTCATTTTTAGCATTAGCTGCATTATTTCTTTATACAACTAGGAAAAGGGATTATTCAGAAATTTGGTTGATGGCTTTTTATTTTGTAGAGACAGGGTCTGTCTCTGTTACCCAGCCTAGTCTCTAACTTCTAGTCTCAAGTGGTCTTTCCACCTCAGCCTTCCTAGTGTTGGGATTACAGGCATGAGCCACCGCACTGGCCAGATGGCATTTTAAAGAATAATGTTAGGAAAATAATTAATTTTTGCAAGTGAAGATAGTTGAAATGTTAGCTAAAATGATGACCTAGAGGCAGCTTGTTTTGGTAAATATCTTAGTCAGTTTAGGCTGCTATAACAAAATACCATAGATTTGGTAGTTTATAAACAACAGAAACTTACTTCTCACAATTCTAAAGTCTGGGAAATCCAAGAATAACATTCCTTTAAGCAAGGTTGAATGTACCAGCTTGGGCGATAGTGGCAAGTAGCCTCCTATTCCATTTTGTTCTAGAAAGCATTTTTTCTCTTTTCTATTATTTTTGTCTCTTTATATGTTTATGTGTTAGGGGGAGAAGGAGAGAGAATATTTTTATATTTTTCTTTTGGGGGGATATTTTTATTTTTAAATTATAAATACTTCTAATTTGCAAAGGATCCCAGAAATAGTTGAAGCTGTCTTTAAACCCCTCTCTGATCCCATTCTATCCTTTCTGTTAACTACTATTCTGAAGTTAATTTGTACTCTGTCCATTTTTATCCTTTTATTACATATGTTTGTGTTCATAAAAAAATTACAGTTTAACATTTTTACATAAAAAATGTTCTTGTAAATATTCTGCAATTTGCTTTTTTAAATTTTATTTTTTATTTTTAATTTTTTTTTGCAGAGCCAGGGCCTTGCCTTGTTGCCTAGGCTGATCTCAAACTCCTGGCCCCAAGGAATCCTCTTACCTTGGCCTCCCAAAGTGCTGGGATTATAAGTGTGAACCACCACTCCTGGCCTTGCAGCTTGCTTTTTAAACCTATTCTAAGACTTGCTCCCTATTTATACATGAGTATTAAGTTAACTCATTTTAACTGCACGTATAATATTCTATTATCAGTATGTCAGTTTATCCATTTCTGGTATAGAGGAACACTTAATTTGTTTTCAGGGTTTTTTTTTTTTTTGCTTGTGTTTTTGTTTTATTATAAACAATGCTTCAGGAAGCATATATTTGTATTCTTGAATTTTTTTTTTTTTTTTTTTTTTTTGAGACAGGGTCTCACTCTTGTCGCCCAGGCTGGAGTGCAGTGGTGCGAACTCGGCTCACTGCAAGCTCCGCCTCCCAGGTTTATGCCATTCTCCTGCCTTAGCCTCCTGAGTAGCTGGGACTACAGGTGCCTGCCACCATGCGGGCTAATTTTTTTTTGTATTTTTAGTACAGGCGGTGTTTCACTGTGTTAGCCAGGATGGTCTCGATCTCCTGGCCTCATGATCTGTCCGCCTTGGCCTCCCAAAGTGCTGGGATTATATGCGTGAGCCACCGTGCCTGGCCTTGAATTTTTATTTGACTTAAAACATACTGTGAAACTTGTAAGATTATGTGAATCATGTTTGTACAGTTTATACTTAAAAAAAAAAAAACATGGTGAACTCTTATCAATTCACAGAGTAAAAAACAACATTCCCAATGCTGTGGAAACACCTCTATGGCCCAAATCACAGTTCTTTTCTTACCATTCCCCCTACCACTATCTTGAATTGTATTTTAAAATTTCCTTTCTTTTCTTTATGTCTCCATGAACAATGTATTGCTTTGTTTACTTATTTTGATTTTCATGTAATGGAATAATACTGTAAGTATTCTGATTTCTTTTGTAAGCATCATTTTTCTTTTGAGCGTTAATCTATGGTATTGTATGCAGTTCATTCAGTTTTACTGCTATACATTAGTTCATTATTTGTATATATTGTATATATATATATATCTGGGCTATTGATGCACATTTGGATTGTTTCTAGTTTTTTGCTATTACTAAGAATGCTGCTTACGAACATTGTTATTCATGTCTTTTGTGCACATGCAGGAATTTGAAGTATATGTCTGGGAGCAGAATTTTTCATTTTATGGGGTATGGGTTTGTTTAGCTTTACTAAGTAATGCCAAATTTTTCTAATTTTTAAAAATTTTTAATTAATTTTTTTTTTGAGATGGAGTTTCTCTCTTCTCCCCCAGGCTGGAGTGTAATGGCACGATCTGGACTCACTGCAACCTCTGCCTCCTGGGTTCAAGCGATTCTCCTGCCTCAGCCTCCTGAGTAGCTGGGATTACAGGAGCGAGCACCATGCCCAGCTAATTTTTGTATTTTTATTAGAGACGGGGTTTCGCCATGTTAGCCAGGCTGGTCTCGAACTCCTGACCTCAAGTGATCTGTCCACCTCCGTCTCCTGAAGTGCTAGGATTACAGGCGTGAGCCACTGCGCCTGGCCACCAAATTATTTTTTAAAGTGATTGAATCAGTTGACACTCCCAACTGCAATATAGAAGTATTCCTATTGCTCTGTGTCCTTGCCAAAGCTTAGAATTGTTTCTTTAAAAAATTTTATGGGGCCGGGTGCAGTGGCTTACACCTGTTCAAGGCCAGCCTGGCCAACGTGGTAAAACCCGGTCTCTACTAAAAAATACAAAAAAATTAGCTGGACGTTGTGGCATGCACCTGTAGTGCTAGCTACTCGGGAGGCTAAGGCAGGGGAATTGCTTGAACCTGGGAGGCGGAGGTTGCAGTGAGCTGACATCTTGCCATTGCACTCCAGCCTGGGCAACAAGAGCGACACTTCGTCTAAAAAAAAAGAAAAAAAAATTATGTATCTGGTGGGTAAGAAATGTTGTTTCATTGTAATTTGAATCTGTATTTCCTTGACTACCAATGAGGTTTAGTTTCTTTTCGGATATTCATAGAGCATTTGTGTTATTTATTCTGTGAAATGTATTTGTGTTTCTTATTCTGTGAAGTGTCTGTATATACTTTTTGCCCATTTTTCTGTTTGGATTGTTTAATTTTTCCTGATTGATTCATAGCAATTTTTTATGGTTTTAGATCTAATTCTCTTGTTTTTTGAGACAGGGTCTGGCTCTGTCACCCAGGCTAAAGTGCAATGGTGCAATCTTGGCTCATTGCAACCTTTGCTAGGCTCAAGCTATCCTCCCACCTCAGCCTCTTGAGTAGCTGGGACTACAGGTACGCGCCACTGTGCCTGGCTAATTTTTGTATTTTTTGTGGAGATGGGGTTTTGCCATGTTCCCCAGGCTGGTCTTGAATTCGTGAGCTCCAGTGATCTACCCACCTCAGCCTCCCAAAGTGTTGAGATTGTAGATTTGAGCCACAGTGCCTAGCCTAGATCTAATTCTAGATTTGTGTTGCAAATATCTTTTCCAATTTATGATTGGATTAAAAAAAACTTCGGTGATTGAAATTCTTGATCTTACTGCAGCTGAATTTATCAGTCTTCTATGATTTATGTTTTAAAATTTTTTTGTGTCCTATCATTAAGATAATTCTCTATTTTCTAAAAGTTGTTTGCTTTTCACTTTTACATTGAAGTCTCTAATCCACATGGAAAGACTTTTTTTGTAAGGATCCACTTTTATTTTTTTGCCATATGATAACAGATAACTGATTGTTCCAGCCTATTTATTGAGTAGTGCATTTTTTCTCCTGTGATCTCAGTGCTTGCTTGGGTGAATATTAAGTGTCAGTATATGCACAGGCTCAGTTTCTAGACTCTCAGTTCGGCTCTCTCCTCTAGTGCCAGTAATCCACTTGATTATTTGTCCTGATTGTGGTTGCTTTATAATAATTCTTAGTATAAAGTATGGCAGGTCCCCAAAAGACTTATAATAATGCCTTTCCATATTGGTTTTACAGTCAGTTTATTGATTTCCGCAAAAAATGATACTGGGATTTTGAATGGTATTGCATTGAGTCTTTGGATCAAGTTGGGAAGAATTGATTGACATTGTTATGATATTGAGGCTTCCTATTTAAGAACATAATATGACTTTCTATTTATTTTATGTTTTAAAAAATCATTCCAGTTAAGTTTTATAATTTTCTCCTTATATAAAGAACTTCTACATAAAATGTCAGTTTTTCCTAGAATATTTTTATTATTTATACATGATATTTAAAAAGTTATATTTTCTGATTGTATATAGAAATGAAATTAACTTATATTTTGTCTTTATACTTTTTTTTTTTTTTTATTTAAAGAAACGGGGTTTTGCTATGTTGCCCAGGCTGGTCTTAAACTCTTGGCCTCAGGTGATCCTCTAGTCTCAGCCTCCCAAAGTGCTAGGATTACAGGTGTGAGCCACCACATCTGGCCTGTTTTTGTGCTATTACTGACTTATATCTAGATTCTTTGGGGTTATCTATGTAGACAGTGGATGATCTACAAATAGTTGTAGCTTTGTTTCTTTATCTTCAATCTTTTTTTTTCTCTGTGCATCTGTTGAGGGCTTTTAATGTTGAATAGGGGAGATGACATTGGGAAGCTATGTGTTGTTTTTAATTAATATTTTTTTTGTACATTGACCTCTTCTGTACCTTGCACTTCTGTTTTGTTTTGTTTGGTTTTGTTTTTGGAATGCAGTGGCGCAATCACAGTTCACTGCAGCCTTGATCACCTGGGCTCAAGCCATCATCCCACCTCAGCCTCCCGAGTAGCTGGGACCACAGGCGTGTGCCACCATGCCTGGCTGATTTTTGTATTTTTTTTTTTTTTTTTTAGAGATGGGGTTTCATCCTGTTGGCCAGGCTGGTCTCAAATTCCTGAGCTCAAGTGATCCACCTGCCTCGACCTCCCAAAGTGTTAGGATTATAGGTGTGAGCCACTGCACCCAGCCCCAGGGTTGTTGCTTCTTTATTGAGCTTGTCACTCAGTGCCTTTTAACTGGGGCATTTAGCCCGTTTACATTCAAGGTTAGTATTGATATGTGTGGATCTAATTGTGTCATCATGTTGTTAGCTGGTTATTATGCTGACTTGTTGGCATGGTTGCTTTGTAGTGTCACTGGTTATGTACTTAAGTGTGTTTTTTTTAGTGTCTGATAATGTTCTTTCCTTTCCATATTTAGTGCTGCTTTCAGGAGCTCTCGTAAGGTAGGTCTGGTACTAACGAATTCCCTCAGCATTTGCTTGCCTGAAAAGGATCTTATTTTTCCTTTGCTTATGTAGCTTAGTTTGGCCCAATATGAAATTCTGGGTTGGAATTTCTTATCTTTAAGAATGTTGTGGCTGGGTGCTGTGGCTCACACCTGTAATCCCAGCACTTTGGGAGGCCGAGGCGGGCAGATCATGAGGTCAGGAGATCGAGACCATCCTGGCTAACACCGTGAAACCCTGTCTCTACTAAATATACAAAAAATTAGCCAAGCATGGTAGCAGGCGCCTGTAGTCCCAGCTACTCGGGAGCCTGAGGCAGGAGAATGGCGTAAGTAAACCCGGGAGGCGGAGCTTGCAGTGAGCCTAGATCGCGCCACTGCACTCCAGCCTGGGTGACAAGAGTGAGACTCCGTCTCAAAAAAAAAAAAAGGAATGTTGAATATAGACCTCCAATCTCTTCTGACTTGTATAGTTTCTACTGAGAGGTCCATTGTTAGTCTGATGGGCTTTCCTTTATAGGTGACATGTCCTTTCTCTCTAGCCACCTTTAACATTTTTTTCTTTCATTTCTGCCTTGAAGAATCTGATGATTCTGTTTTTTGGAGATTATCTTTTTGTGAAATATTTTGTGGGAGTTCTCTTTATTTCCTGAATTTGAATGTTGACTTCTCTAGCTAGGTTGGGGAAGTTCTCATGAATGATATCCTGAAATATGTTTTCCAAGTTGCTGCCTTTCTCCCCATATCTTTCAGGGATACCAGTGAATCATATATTTAGTCTCTTTATATAATTTCATATTTCTTGGGGGTTTTGTTTGTTCCTTTTCATTCTTTTGTCTTTATTCTTGTCTGTCTTCTTATTTCAGAAAGCCAATCTTCAAGCGCTGAGATTCTTTTCTCAGCTTGGTCTGTTCTACTGTTAATACTTGCGATTGCATTATGAAATTTTTTTTTTTTTTTTTTTTGAGACAGAGTAGTGACACGATCTCAGCTCACTGCAACCTCTGCTTCCTGGGTTCAAGCGATTCTCCTGCCTCAGCCTCCTGAGTTGCTGGGATTGCAGGTGCCTGCCACTACACCCATCTGATTTTTTGTATTTTTCGTAGAGACGGGGTTTCACCATGTTGACCAGGCTGGTCTTGAACCCCTGACCTCATGATTCGCCTGTCTTGGCCTCCCAAAATGTTGAGATTACAGGTGTGAGCCACTGCGCCCGGCCATGAAATTCTTATAGAGTGTTTTTTAGCTGTATGAGGTCGTTTATATTCTTTTCTATACTGGCTATTTTGTCTGTCAGCTCTGTATCGTTTTATTGTGGGTAGCTTCCTTACATTGGGTTTCAACATTCTCCTGAATCTCAATGATTTTCATTCCTATCCATATTCTGAATTCTGTTTCTGTCATTTCAACCATCTCAGTCCAGTTCAGAACCCTTGCCGGAGAGCTAGTGCAGTCGTTTGTTTTAGAGGAAAGAAGATGCTCTGGCTTTTTGAGTCATCAGAGTTCTTGTGTTGGTGCTTTGTCATCTTTGTGGGCTGATGTTCCTTCAGTCTTTGAAGTCGCTGTTTTTTTTTGTTTTTTTTTTTTTATCCTATATGATGACCTTGGATGTTTGTGGTACAAGGTAGGTTCAGTTAACTGGCTTCATTACTGGAGGGGCCAGGGCTCATCTCAGGACTCCCGGAGTACATGGGTCCTCCAACTCTGGGGGACTGGCATTGGGCCCCAGCTTTGTTCTCTGGTTCTTTAAGGTTAGGAACCTGCTGCACTGGAGGGGCCGAGGTGCTCCTGGACCTCTGGTCACAATACTCCCGTGGGTTGTGCCAGCCAAAGTGTAGGGGGTGGCAGTGGAATCAATTCTTGTTCGCATGTGCCAGTAGCAGTGGCAGCAAGGCCACAGGGTGCTGGCCTCCATGTGGGCATTGGCAGCAACAGTGGCAGTAAGGCCAGGGCGGGGGGCTGCTGGTACACATGCACTGGTGGTGGTGTTAGCACAGGGGCAGGGTGCTGGTGGGTGCAGGACTGGGTGTGCCCTCTGTGCACGTTCATGCTGGCTTCAGTGGCCGGTAAGGGGTGGGGGTGGGTCCTCTGTTTTCTCTGCCTAGTTTCATGTTGGTGCAGGGGCTCAGTGCTGGTGGGGATGGCACTGGTGGGCTCTGTACCTGCCAGTGCTCCCTTGACAATGGCCATGGAGGGATAGGCAGGGTGTACTCACGCTGGCTGCAGTGGCATGGGAGGGTGCTTGCACGCATGTGTGCTGGCGGGGAAGGGAAAACAAGGTACACCTGTGCACACGTGTGGGCAAAGCATTTGGAGGGTGGCCATGGGCGAGTGCCTGCAGGCAAAGCAGCATGGAGCAGCCTTCGGTGGGAGGAGGGTATTGGCAGGCTCGTGCTTTTCCACAGGGATCACTGTGGTTGGAGCACTCTGCCTGTCAGCACCTTGTCAGTGCAGGAGCTGGTATGTGGCCCCCCCCGGCAGTACTGCAAGCATCCTGGCCAGGCTGGAGCCCCATGAGAGACCAGCAGACTGAGGGTACTCAGGTCACACCACCCCCACCTTATGGGCAAGACTGCCCTGCAGAGTTCAGGTCTGGCAGTTCCTCTAGGGCTAAAGTCTCCTATGGGAGCAAGTCGAGCCTTGGGGGATGGGCACTCCTGGCCCTGTTGCACTACAGATGCTCCAGCACCAAAACCTCTGAGCTCTGCCCTGGCTGGAGTTCTGCCCCTACCACTTCTCTAAGCAGCTTTCCCTGCCAGCTCAAGTGTCCTTGGTGGTTGAGGGGTCTCCTTGTGGTGGAGGAGTCTCCTTCTGCAGGGATTCCAGAGTCCCCTGGTGAGAGTGGGTTGCTGCTTCCCTGTTCAACTCAACTGCCTCTTCAGGAGTCACTGGGGGCCAGGAAAAAGTCCCGGTGCGTGGTAGCCCTGTGCAGGGTTCCTTACTTCTTCCCTCGTCAGTTCAGCATCTGTGTCTTCCCTCTGTCAGCACTCAGTGCTTTCCCTCTGAAGATCTGCTAAGAGTGTGCCAGTCATCCTGATCCTCTGGGAGATGTTCCTACTGGCTGCAGCTAGTTGGCCATCTTGGAGCCCCCTCCCTGTGGCTTTTCATGATTTCTAATAATTACATTGATGTTACATTCTGTGGGCTGTTCTTATTGAAATGTATAAATTTAACAAATCAGTTGTTGGTGTAAACTTGCTGATATTTTGTTTAGGATGTTTGTATCTATGAGTAAGATTGGTTTGTAATTTTCTTATATAGCTGTTGTCTGGATTTCATATCAAGGTGATTCTAGCCTTATAAAATCAATTGGGGAGTTTATATAATCTATTTAATCTCTGTGTTAACTGAAGTTGTGTCTAATATTTCACCCCTAATGTTTATTTCTTTATTTTTTCATGTTTTTTTTTCTGTTTGTGTATTTCGTTTTTATTTTTTTGAGACAGGGTCTTACTCTGTCATCCAGACTGGAGTGCAGTGGTGTGATCACTGTTCACTGCAGCCTTAACCTCCTGGGCTCAAGCAGTCCTCCCACCTTAGCCTCTCAAGTAGCTGGGACTACAGGCACATGTCACCATCCCTAGCTAATTTTTAAATTTTTTTTGTAGAGACGGGGTCTCACCTTGTTGCCCAGGCTGGTCTTGAACTCATGGGCTCAAATGATCTTCTTTCTTGGCTTCCAAAAGTGCTAGGATTACAGGCGTGAGCCACTGTGGCTGGCCTCAGTGTATTTTTAAAGACTCATTTCTAGGCCAGACTTGGTGGGTCATGCCTGTAATCCCAGCACTTTGCGAGGCTGAGGTAGATGGATCACTTGAAGTCGAGAGTTTGAGACCATCCTGACCAACATAGTGACACCGTTTCTACTAAAAATACAAAAACTAGCTGGGTGTGGTGGCAGACGCCTGTAATCCCAGCTACTCAGGAGGCCGAGGCAGGAGAATCGCTTGAACCCAGGAGGAGGAGGTTGCAGTGAGTGGAGATCATGCCGCTGCATTCCAGCCTGGGCCACAGAGCAAGACTTCATCTCAAAAAAATAAAAAGACTCATTTCTTAGCTTTTTAAACTTTGTTTTCTGTTTTGTTAATTTTGTTGTTACATTTTCTTTCCTTGGGTTTATTCTGCTATGCATTTTTCCCCTAACTTTTTAATGTTACTTATTTATTTATTTTTTGAGACGGAGTTTCACTGTTGTTGCCCAGGCTGGAGTACAGTGGCGTGATCTCAGCTCACTGCAACATTTGCCTCCCGAGTTCAAGTGAGTCTCCTGCCTCAGCCACCCAAGTAGCTGGGATTACAGGCGCTCGCCACCATGCCCGGCTAATTTTTGTATTTTTAGTAGAGATGGGATTTCACCATTTTGGCCAGGCTGGTCTCGAACTCCTGACCTCAGGTGATCCACCTGCTTCGGCCTCCCAAAGTGCTGGGATTACAGGCATGAACCACCGTGCCTGGCCTTAATCTTATGTTTAAATGTGGAAAAATGCACATAACATAAACGTTACCATCTTAACTGTTCCTAAGTGTATAGTTCAGTAGTATTAAGTACATTCACCTTGTTGTGTAACCAATCTACAGAACTCCCTTCATCTCAAAAAACTGAAACCCTTTACTCATTAAACTAGAACTTCCCATTCCTCCATGTTCCCAGCCACTGGAAACCACCATTCTACTTTCTGTTTCTATGAATTTGACTACCCTGGATACCTCAAATAAGTGGCGTCATACAGTATTTGTCTTTTTATAACTGGCTTGTTTCCGTTAGTGTAATGTCTTCAAGGTTAATCCACATTGCAGCATATGTCAGAATTTCCTACCTTTTAAAGGCTGAATAATATTCTGTTATTTGTGTAAACCACATTTTCTTTATCCATTCAGGACATTTGGGTTACTTTCACCTTTTGGTTATTGTAAATAATGCTGCCATGAACATGGGTGTGCAGATACCACTTCAAGACCCTGCTTTCAGTTCTTTTGCATATGTACCTAGAAGTAGGGTTGCTGGATCATATGGTAATTCTATTTGTAATATGTTGAGGAACTGTTTTACTGTTTTCCATAGGTATATGCACTATTTTACTTTCCCATCAGTAGTGCACAAGGGTTCCAATTTCTCCATATCCTCATTTACGTTTGTTATTTTGTGTCTTTTTTTTTATTTTTTTGAGACAGAGTCTCACTCTGTTGCCCAGGCTTGAATGCAGTAGTGTGATCTGGGCTCACCGCAACCTCCGCCTCCCGGGTTCAAGCGATTCTGCTGCCTTGGCCTCCCTAGTAGCTGGGACTACTGGCACCTGCCACCATGTCTGGCTAATTTTTGTATTTTTAGTAGAGATGGGGTTTCGCCATGTTGGCCAGGCTGGTCTTGAACTCCTGACCTCAAGTGATCTGCCTGCCTCGGCCTCCCAAAATGTTGGGATTACAGGCATGAGCCACTGCGTCTGGCCTTATTTCATGTCTCTTTTTGATAGTAGCCATCCTAATGAGTGTTAGGTGGTTTTATGACTTTTTGGTTTTTTTTTAATAGAGGTTTTTGCTCTGTCATGCAGACTAGAGTACAGTATCATGAGCATAGCTCACTGCATCTTCGAACTCTTGGACTCAAGCAATCTTCCTGCCTTAGCCTCCCCAAAGTGCTGGGATTATAAGTGGAAGCCACTGTACCTAGCACGTTTTCTGACTTTTAGAGTTATATTTAAGCTCATCAGTTTTGAATATTTCATTTGATTGTAAGTATTCAAAGTTATAAATTTATTAAATGCTGCTTTAATTGTATCCTACAAGTTTCAATAATTGGCTTTTTATTTTTCAATTTCATATTTCCATATAATGTTTTCAATTATGATTTCTCCTTTCACCTAGAGTGTTTCATATGAATATGAAACATGTTATGGTTTATATGTTACCAGTAATTTCAAATTTGAACTTAGCTTTATGACCTTGAACATATTTATTAGTTATTTATTGTTATGTTATAAATTATTCCCAAATGTAGCCGTTTTGTACAACAAACATTTATTATCACATAAAGTTTCTGTCCATCTGAAATCCATTAGTGGCTGAACTGAGTGTTTCTGGCTCAGAGTCTTTCATGAAGCTGCAGTGACAGTCTTGGCTGGGTCTGTAGTAATCTGAAGGCTTGACTGGGGGTAGAGCATTTGCTTCCAAGTAAATTCACTTACATAGCTTTTGGCAGGAGGCCTCAGTTCTTTGCTGGCCATTTGTAAGAGGTCTCAGTTCCTTTCTACTTGGGCTTCTCCATCTGGCTGCTTGTAATGTGGCAGCTGACGTCTCCCAGAGTGAGTGATCTGAGAGAATCAAAAGCCACATTCTTTCATGATCCTTAGAAGTTACATACCTTCCTGCTTGCCGTATAATATTGGTTATGCAGAACAACCCGAATACCAGATGAGAGAGGATGACACACGGGTGTGGATATCAGAATGTAGGAATACTTGCAGACCATCTTGGAGTCTGGCTACCATAAGCATACAGTCCATTTTTATAAAGTTTTCATGTCTTCTTGAAAATGATATGTAGTCCCAAGTTCTTGAGTGTGATTTTTACATAGGAGTTTGATCAAGTTTATTAAGCAGTTCAACTCTTCTAAATTCTGATTCTTTTTTGTCTGCTAGATCTTACTACTGAGAAAGGTAAGTTAGGAAATCTTTCACTGAATTAGTATGTTTATGCTTTTTTCTTGCAGATGTGTCAGTTTTGTGTGTGTGTTATTAGGTGCATAGAGGCTTACAATATCTTACAGTTGATTTGAGTCCTGTATCATCATGTAGTGCCCCTCTTGATCTCTAGTCCTTTTTATCTTAGTCCACTCCAGTTTTCTCTTGTTTCTATTTGCCTGATAGATCTTTTTCCATTTCTTAACTATCAATATTTCTGTGCCTGTATGCTTTATGTTTGTCTCTTATAAACAGTTCATGGGAAACCAGTCTGATGGTTTTTTTTTCTTCTGCCTGGAGAGTTTAGTTCATTTACATTCATTGTGATGACTGACATCTTTGGATTCCTTTCTGCCATTTTCTTTTTAAAATTTAATCTAATTATTATTACTTTTTTGAAACAGGGGTCTTTCTCTGTTGCCCTAACTTGAGTCCAGTGGTGTGATCATGGCTCACTGCAACCTCTGTCTCCTGGGCTCAAGTGATCCTCCCAGCTCAGCCTCCTAAGTAGCTGGAACTATAGGCATGTGCCATCTTGTCTAGATAATTAAAAAACATTTTTTTTTTTTGTAGGGACAGCATCTTACTGTGTTTCCCAGGGGCTAGTCTTGAACTCCTGAGCTCAAGCGATCCACCTGCCTCAGCTTCCCAAAGTGTTGTGATTACAGGTGTGAACCACCACCCCCAGCTCTGCCATTTTCTTATGTGCCTTTTATTCAACTGTTTCATTTTTTTACCCCTTGAGTCTCAGAATTTACCTCTGGGTTCATTTTACTTCTGCTTGAAGCATATTCTTTAGAATTTCTTTTGATGAGGGTCTGTTGCAGTAATTGCTCTTACTTTCCTTTCTTTGAAAATACAGGGCCAGCGCGGTGGCTCACGCCTGTAATCCGAACACTTTGGGAGGCCGAGGCGGGCGGATCACAAGGTCAGGAGATCAAGACCATCCTGGCTAACGCGGTGAAACCCCCATCTCTACTAAAAATACAAAAAATAGCCAGGTGTGGTGGTGGGCGTCTGTAGTCCCAGCTACTCAGTAGGTTGAGGCAGGAGAATGACGTGAACCTGGGAGGCGGAGGTTGCAGTGAGCTGAGATTGTGCCACTGCACTCCAGCCTGGGTGAAAGAGCAAGACTCTGTCTCAAAAAAAAAAAAAAAAAAAAAGGAAAGAAAATACAGTAGTCTCCCCGCTCCCCCCACAACCACTTATCAGCAGTTTTGCTTTCTATGGTTTGTTGCCCACAGTCAACTGCAGTCTGAAAATGTTAAATGGAAAATTCCAGAAATAAACAATTCATAAGTTTAAAATTGCATGCTGTTTTGAGTAGTGTGATGAAATCTCACACAGTCCTGCTTCGTCTTACTTGGGATGCAAATCATCCCTTTGTCCAGTGTATCCACACTGTGTATGGTACCTGCCTGTTAGTCACTTAGTAGCCATCTCATTTATCAGATTGACTGTCATGATATTGTAGTGCTGTGTTCAGTTAACCCTTATTTTATATAGTAATGGCCCCAAGGAGGAGGAGCAGTGACGCTGGAATATTGTTATAATTGTTCTTTTTTTAAAATTAGTTATTATTGTCGATCTCTTACTGTGTCTTATAAATTAAACTTTTTTATAGGCATGTATGTGTAGGAAAAAAACATAGTATATATATAGGGTTCAGTACTATCCCTGGATTCAGGCATCCACTGGGGCTCTTGGAACTTATGCCCCATGGATAAGGGGAGACTACTGTATCTTTATTTCTCCCTTATTCTTGAATGATAGTTTTGCTGGATATATAGAATTCTGGACAGTTATGTTTCCCTCAGTATGTTAAAGATACTATTTCACTATCTGTCTGCTATCATAGCCATTGAGAATTCAGTTGACATAATTGCCTTTATTTTATAGGTGACATTTTCTCTCCAGTTGTTTTTTTAGGTCTCCTTTTTGTTGTTTGTTCTGTAGTTTCACCAAAATGTTTGTAGGTATATGGATCTCTATTCTGCTTTGAGTTTTTGGACTTCTTGGGAGTGACATTTGTTGTTGTCTAACAGTTCTAAAAAGCCATTACCTTCTCAAATATTGTTTCTTTTCTGTATTTCTATTAGTTTTCTTCTGGAACTACAATTAGATGTATGTAATATTGTTTGAGGCTGAGCCAAGTAGTGTACTGTGATTAAGTTTACTTTCTGGTACAACTTTTTGTGTCTCCTAAATGTAATGTCTCATTTAGCCTCATTTTTTTCATTTGCTTCAGTTTTTATGTAGCTATTGTTATTTCTTTCCATCATTAACACGTTCTCAGTACAGTTTTTCACATAGGGTCAAACCTGTTAATCTGTTCAGTGTGACCATTTTCCTTGAGGATTTCCTCCCATGCTAGTGTTTAGAATTGGCTGCTTGCTATACCAGGTGTGCAGCTATCATCCTGTGTTCTCCCTTCAGCATCATTTTGGAAATTCCTATTGCTTGTCTCCTGTGTTGATTCCCTTGTTTTGTGGATCTCATTCATTTACAACACACCTTCCACTAGCTTGCTGGAAAAAAAAAAAAGTACAAAGGAGATAAATTTTGAGACCTTGAATGTTTGAGAATGTCTTTATTCTACCTTTTTTGAAAAAAAAATTGATAATTTGTCTAGGTCTTAAGTTCTAATATGAAATAATTTTTTTTCTCAGAATTTGGAAAGAATTTCTCCATTGCCTTTTAGTTTATCACTGAGATTATTGCTAACCCCAATGCCATTCTGGTTTCTGTTACGTTGTCATCAATCTGTTTATTTTTTCTTTTCTAGAATCCTTGGAATTTTTTTTTATTTGTCCTTGCTATTCTGCAGTTCAATAATAACATGTTGGGATACCAAATGGGTCTTACTTAGTTTAGAGACTCTTCAAGTCTGGAAAACTTCTTGTGTTATTCTCTGGCAACGTCTTCCTATCTTATTTATTAATTTTTTTCTTTTTTTCACATGTTGGAATTGATTACTCATGTAATGTTTTACATTTTTTTCTTTCATGGTCTTTCTTTTGTTCTTTTTTTGTAGAAAATATCTTGACTTTATCTTCCAACTCTTTAATGTTTTCTTTCTTTCTTTCTTTTTTCTTGAGACAGGGTCTGGCTCTGTCGCCCAGGCTGGAGTGCAATGGCACGATCTCAGCACTCTGCAACCTCCACCTCCCGGGTTCAAGTGATTCTCCTGCCTCAGCCTCCTGAGTAGCTAGGATTACAGGTGCCTACTACCACACCTGGCTAATTTTTGTATTTTTAGTGGAGACAAAGTTTCACTATGTTGGCCAGGCTGGTCTCGAACTCCTGACCTCAGGTGATCCACCCGCCTGGGCTTCTCAAAGTGCTGAGATTATAGGTGTGAGCCACTGCACCTGGCCTGCTCTCTCTATTTTAAAAATAGCATTCTTTAGTTTTTTTTTTTTTTTGAGTCAGCGTCTCGCTCTGTTGCCCAGGCTGGAGTGCAGTGGTGCAATCTCGGCTCACTGCAAGCTCCGCCTCCCAGGTTCACGCAATTCTTCTGCCTCAGCCTCCTGAGTAGCTGGGACTACAGGCTAATTTTTTTTTTTTTTGTATTTTTAGTAGAGACGGGGTTTCACCGTGTTAGCCAGGATGGTCTCAATCTCCTGATGTCGTGATATGCCCACCTTGGCCTCCCAAAGTGCTGGGATCAGAGGCAGCATTCTTTAAATTTTTAAGTATTTTTTAAGATACTAATAATTTACCGTATTTTGAAGTTTTCTTCTCATTCTTCATTATCTTTTTTCTCAAAATTAATTGTGTGTACTTGGTTCTTTTTCTTTCATGTTAATAAGGTTTCCTTATACCTGGTGATTCTGAGCTGTTTTCACTTTAAATATCTAAGTTTTGTTTGTTTGTTTTTTGAGACAGTCTCATTCTCTCGCCCAAGCTAGAGTGCGGTGGCATGATCTCAGCTCACTGCAACCTCCACTTCCCAGGTTCAAGAAATTCTTGTGCCTCAGCCTCTCAAGTAGCTGGGATTACAGGCATGTGCCACCATGCGTGGCTAAATTTTGTATTTTTAGTAGAGATGAGGTTTCACCATATTGGCCAGGCTGGTCTGAAACTCCTGTCCTCAAGTGATCGGCCTGCCTCGGCCTCTCAAAGTGCTGGGATTACAGCATGAGTCATTGCGCCTGGCCTACTCTTAGATCTTAAATGTTTTACACAGACACACACACACACACACACACACACACACACACACACGGTAACTGTGATGATGGATGTGTCAGTTGATCGTGGTAATCATTTCAGAATGTATACATCTATTAAATTATCATGTAGACCTTAAATTATTATTTTTGTCAATTATACCTCAAGCTGGAAAAAAATGCAGATCTACTCTTAAATGTGAGATAATTGGAAGCTCATGTGCATGGGCTAGGGTAAGTTGGTGGAGAACTAACTTTATTGTTGGAGGCTTTCTAAATGTATGTCTTTTCTTTGAACATTAGTTTGTTCCAGAAAATATTGCGTGGTTGGTTGCCTGGGAAGATGTATGTCTGATTTTCGGACTTGGAAGCAAGATAAAGGAAAGAGGCTGCTGGTTTATGGTATAGAGATTTTCACTCGTTAAGAAAGTAACAAAGTAAGGAAGTAGGATTATTGTAGAAATATTATTTTACAGTTCAAGTTTGTAAAACACAGGTGAAGGTAATCGTTGGTGGGTCTCTTCCTCTGAGATCACCAAATTATCTGTAGACTGGTTGGTAGACTTGGAGAGACCACTTGTTCTTGGACAACAGTTAGAAGCATACTGCCCTAAGCAGTAAAAAGGTGATTGTTGAGGGCAGCAAGAGGCGGTGTAACATACCAGTTCATTTTTCTTTTCTTAGCAAGCATGTACTAATTGCCTTTTAAAACTCCTGACCATAGGGGATAAAACGATTACAAGAAAGATACCTTCCCTGCTCCCATGGAATTTACATTCTAGCACAACAGTGGATATTAAACAACGTATCATCTGGTTATGTAATTACAGTAATAAGAATCATGTAGGAGAGGTCAAGGAAGCTTACTGCTGTGGGGTTCAGGATGGCATCTCCGAAAGTATGAATAAGGAAAGTGGTGGGAGAATAAAAGGAGAGTGGCAGAGACTCAGACTGAGAGATTAATTGAGATAATGACAATTGTGGGATTCAATGAGGTGTATAATGTGTTTAGTGCCTGGTACTTGTGCTCAGTAAGTGCTAATTAGTAGTTGTTTATAGCAATACTGTTATCTTGGATGATCAAATAGAAGATCCCTAGCAAGTAATTTTATAAAGACAAAAATTTCGTGTCAACTCTGTAATAAAACAATATATCCTTAGAATCAGTTATCACTTAAAATCCTTATTTTATAGAAATTTTTGTGTTTCAAAAGTATAGCTAGGGCAAGTCCCCCTTCAGGGTGGATACTTAAAGGAGATGAAATCACTTCATAAAGGTGTCTGCACTCCCATGTTCATTGCAGTGTTATTTACAAGGTAGCCAAGATATGGAAACAACCTAAATGTCTGTTGATGGCAAATTGATAAAGAAAATGTGTGTGTATGTGTGTGTTTATACAATGGAACGTTATTCAGCCTTTAAAAAGAAGGATATTCTGTCATTTGCCACAACTTGGTTGGACCTTATGCTAAGTGAAATAGACCACGCACAAAAAGAAAAATACTATATAATCTCACTTATATGTGGAATGTTTTTAAAAAGTCAAGTATACGGAGACAGAGAATAAAACAGTGGTTACCTTGGGCAGGAGGAGGAAGGAAATGGGGTTATATAGATAATAAAATAGCAGATATATAGAATGAAGAAGTCTGGAGAGCTTATGTATAACATGAAGACTATAGTTAATAAAACAAAACTGTATTAAGGATTTTTATTAAGTAATTTAGCTGCTTGTAACACTTACACACACACACATAGTAACTATGATAGATGTTTTCACTGTAGTAACCATTTTGCTGTCTATACACATCCCAAGATATCAGCTTATAAATCTCATATACACAGATTTTTTTTTTTAAAGGTATTGTTGGGGCAGGGATCAGGCTTAACTTTGTGGTTGTATCTGTAGTACCCAGCACAGTGCCTGACACATAGAAGGTGTTAATCTTGTTTTTTTTTTTTTTAGGTATCTGAAATACTTACCAGAAATTCTATTCTTTCAGATGAGAGACATCTATGTGATTTTAGGTATTAATAAAAGAAATATTCTTCCTTTTTTCTTACTACGGTGTTGGTAGTGGTGCTCTTTCTTCAGGGACATCATTGATGGCCTTTTAGTTAGAATTTAAATGTTATCCTTTCTGTAGCCAGCAGGGATCTGTTGGGATAAAGTCTTATTTTTCTTTTCTTGGGAGTAATTGGTGCTTTCTAACTTTTCAGCACTTAGACTCACAATGTATTAGTTATCTATTGCTGCAAAACACATTACTTCAAAACTTAGCAGTTTAAAACAACAGACATTTATTATCCCACAGTTTCTATGGGTCAGGAAGATAGGGGTACCTTAGCTGGATGCCTCTGGAGCACGGTCTCTTGAGGTTGCAGTCAAGCTGTTGGCTGGGGCTATATCATCTGAAAGCTTTACTGGGGCAGGGGATGATGTACTTCCAAGTTCACTCCCATGATTGTTGGGAGGAGGACTTAATTCCGTTTCTTGTGGGCTTCTTCCTGGTTTATGTTTGTTACCTGGTGTCTAGAGCTGATGTATTGGGTACTTCCCCTCTAGCATGGTTATTTTCTTTGTTTTTTCTCTCATTTAGGTGAAAACTTAGGTGAATTTTAATGTAAACCCTACCCCCATTATGGTCTAAGGGGCCTTTTAGAAAATGAGTAGAATGTACACAGAGGCAAAAATTTTAGCCTGTGACCTTTTGAAGAATTTTCTAAGTGAAACTAGAAACAAATTAACCATTGTTCACAGAGTGCTTTGCTTAATGTTATGCCTTCTTTTGCTAAATCCTCTTGTTTGTTGAAATCTTACATCTTAAGTTGCTGATAGTTTGTTAATAGAGATCATAATTAAAAGGTGATTATATTTCTTCATGCAGTTTAGCTTTACATTTCTTCCATTATACCCAAAGATTTCTATAATATAGCAAGAAATGTTTTTAAAAAGTGTTTTTCCTCAATTGTGTGAAAGTAATGTATCTAACTGAAAAGAAGAGAAACTCATAAAAGTAAAAATTTTAAAAAATCACCTTATTCTTACCTCTCAAATACAATGACCTCATATTTTAAATTTTGCTCAAGGTTTTTTCCTCCTCATTCTAGGCATAATTATTTTCTTATATGTGTTTCAGTATTACTTTTTTTGTGAAAAATATGGTTACAAATGTGGTCTAATTTCATTTTGCACTTTAAAAATTATTAATGAGGCCGGAAATGAGGCCGGGCACTGTGGCTCATGCCTGTAATCCCAGCACTTTGGGAGGCCAAGGTGGGCAGATCACGAGGTCAGGAGTTCGAGACCATCCTGGGTAACACAGTGAAACCCTGTCTCTACTAAAAATACAAAAAATTAACCGGGTGTGGTGGCAGGCGCCTGTAGTCCCAGCTACTCGGGAGGCTGAGGCAGGAGAATGGCATGAACCCGGGAGGCGGAGCTTGCAGTGAACCGAGATCGCGCCACTGTACTCCAGCCTGGGCGATAGAGCGAGACTCTGTCTCAAAAAAAAAAAAAAATTATTAATGAGATGGTCATATTTTTATGTTATTTACTGATCACTTACCTTTGAATTGCCCCTTGTTTCTTGAAGTTTTTCCAATAAATATTCTTATTAATAGGCAAGACAACCTGATCTGTTAGTTATGTAAACTTTTTGGTAGCTAATTGTATGTGCATTCTTTTACCTCCCGTTTGTTTCTTTATTAGCAGTGTCTTTTTGTTATAGAATTTATACAT
Source organism: Homo sapiens (assembly GCF_000001405.40). NCBI lineage: Eukaryota > Metazoa > Chordata > Mammalia > Primates > Hominidae > Homo > Homo sapiens. Next base: position 222,276 of record NW_025791803.1, read on the forward strand.
TTTCTTGTAAGCAAATATCAGTGTTTTTATTATAGGTGCTGTATGTTTGTCTTGCTTAGGAAAATCTTTATTACTCCAATATTATTAAATTATTCTTTAGTATTTGTCCTAATAGCTTTATGGCTTTGTTTTTTTTAAATCACACACACACACTCACACACACACACGGACACACACACTCTTTGAGACGGGTCTTGTTCTATCACCCAAGCTGGAGTGCTGTGGCGCAATTATGGCTCACTGCAGCCTCAACCTCCTGGGCTCAAGATATCCTCCCACCTCAGCCTCCCAAGTAGCTGGGACTACAGGTGCATACCACCACCCCCAGCTAATTTTTAAATGTTTTTTTTGTAGAAACAGGGTCTCACTTTGTTGCCCAGGCTGGTCTGAAACTCCTGGGCTCAAGTGGTCATCCTTCCTCAGCCTCCCCAAAGTGCTGGTTTTACAGGCATGAGCCACCACACCTGGCAGCACCCATATATTTTAAAATTTAGTATGAATTAGTCTTTTCTTTTTGATGTGGCATAATTGTATTGACTAATCCATTCTTTACCATTGATTTGAAATACCACCTTTATTATATTAAATTTGTGTGTGAATATGAATATCTTTTCTGTGATTGCAATTAATTTGTACTTGTACAGATTGTGCTGTAAGAGCTTAACAGTATATTTCAGTACTTGGTCATGTCTCTTGTTCTTGTTTTTCTTTTCTTTTCTTTTTTTTGTTTTGTTTTTTGAGACAGAGACTCGCTCTGTTGCCCAGGCTGGAGTGCAGTGGCGCAGTCTCGGCTCACTGCAAGCTCTGCCTCCTGGGTTCATGCCATTCTCCCGCCTCAGCCTCCCAAGTAGCTGGGACTACAGGCGCCTGCCACGACGCCCAGCTAATTTTTGTTGTATTTTTAGTAGAGACAGGGTTTCACCGTATTAGTCAGGATGATCTTGATCTCCTGACCTCGTGATCCGCCCGCCTCGGCCTCCCAAAGTGCTGGGATTACAGGCTTGAGCCACTGCGCCTGGCCTTGTTCTTGTTTTTCAAAAATTTCTTTGGTATTCTCACAAGTTTATTCTTCCAAATTAACTTCAGAATCAGCTTACCATTTTAAATAAGCACCCCCCTTCTAAATCTATTATAACATCTCACTACTTTCTCTTCTATTCATATTAGCTTAACTTAAGCTACCATCCTCTCTTGAGTAAGACTGTTTTCTAACATACAGCAACAAGAGGGTTCTTTTTAAAACATAAATCAGATTATGTCATTCCTTTGCTTAAATTCGTTCAGTGCCTTTTTCCCCTGTCTTTTGGTTATCTATTGCTGTATAATAAGCTACTCCAAAGCCTTGTAGCCTAAAAACAACCATTTTATTGTGCTCACAATTTTTGGGGGTCAGGAATTCATGACAGGTTCAGCTGGGCAGTTCTTCTGTTCCATATTGTGTTGCTGACACTGGAGAATCCCTTCCATTATGGCTTCTTCAGTCACATGTCTGGCTCCTCAGTGTTTCTTGGCCTCTCTCTCCACAATGGCGTCCCATTCTTCAGAATCTCTGCATGTGGCCTCGGCTTCTCACAGCATGCTGATCTCAGAGTAGTCCCATTTTTTACATGACAACTGGCTTCTAGGAAGAGGGAAATAAAAACTGTCAGACCAATTAAGGACTATGGCCTGGAACTACACAGTGTGCCTTTAAGCCGTATTTTATTGGTCAGAATAGTCACTGGACCTGCTAGATGAAAGGAGGTAGAAAAATAAATTTCTTTTCCTAATGAGGGAGTGGCAAAATCTTATTGCGGGAAAGCATGTGGGATGAGAGATACTTGACAGTTGGAAAATATAATCCGTGACATCGTCAAATTCAAAATAAATTCAGAGTTCTTAAAATGGCCTATAAGGCTTTTCATGATCTGACTCCTGCTTCTTGAATCTCTGACCGCATCCCCTAGATTTTCCTCTTCGTTCCCTTTGGGTTAACCACATTGGCCCTCTTGCTAGGCTTTGAACATGCCACACCCAACATCAGATCCATTTTACTTGCAACTACTGCCGTGAATGCTCTTCTTTAGATCTTTGCATGGGTCTTCCCGTTCTCATTCATTCATTCATTTTGAGACAGGGTCTCACTCTGTTGCCCAGACTGGAGTGCAGTGGCACGATCTGGGCTCAATGCAACCTCCGCCTCCCGGGTTCAAGCAATTCTCCCACCTCAGCCTCCTGAGTAGCTGGGACTGCACGCATGTACCACCATGCCTGGCTAATTTTTGTATTTTTGGGTTTCACGAGGTTTCCCCATTTGGCCAGGCTGGTCTCAAATTCCTGACCTCATGTGATCCGCCCGCCTCAGCCTCCCAAAGTGCTGGGATTAGAGGTGTGAACCACTAATCCCATGGCTGGTCTTCCCATTTTTTTACTTCATTTAGGTCTCTGCTCAAATGTCACATCTTCAGAGAGCTTCCCCTGAACACCTTATCTGATAAATTCTTGGTTACTTAGAACTCCTTAATCTTGATTTTTTTTTCCTTTTCATAGAATTTGGTGCTGTTAGTAGGAGCCTGGGGGGCCTAAGTACCACTTTTCTTCCTTCCCTGCCTGGCTTCTGAGCAAGTTGAGAAATGAGTAAAGGTGGAGGCCAAAATATATTTTAAAAATTCTTCTGACTAAAGGGAGATGAAGTAAAGGGAACAAAAGAAGTATCATGAAGATTCTCAGATGTCCGACATGGGAAACTGGGTAGATTGTGGTACTATTTACCAAGACAGGAAACATGGTAGGAAGATTATGAATTAAGCTTTGGAAATGTTGAGTTTGAAGTGCCTACAAGTTATCCATGTGGAGAAACCAAATGGACATTTGGATAACACATCTGAAGCTCAGGAGAGAAGTTTCCATTACAGATTCAGGTTTGGTAGTTGTTCTAGTTTTCTATTGCTGTGTAACAAACTACCACAAACAGTAGCCTAAAACACACAAAATTACTATCTTACAATTTCTGTGGGTCGGAGTCAAGGCATTGCTTAGCTGTGTTCTCTGCTCAGGTTCTCATCAGCCTGAAATCAAGGTTTTGGTTGGGGCCTCAGTCTTATCTGAGGCTTGGGGTTCTCTTCCAGGCTCATTGGTTGTTGGCAGACGGTTCAGGAATCTGGGGAGACAAGATTTTTGGGAGCGCCAACCCAGATGTTTCCATTCCATGTGTCAGAGTCTTGTTCTTTCCTAGCCAGGCCCCTGATCTGGACGTAGGAGACCTGCTGCCTTTGGGAGTTCAACCTTTGAAGCCCAACACATACAGATTTAGATATCTAATCTGTCTGTCCATCCATCCATCCATCCATCCATCCATCCATCCATCCATCCATCCATCCAATCTGTATATCTCTGAGATATATAAGTGTAATAAATGGGCGATAATCAAGTGCTGGTTTTGGTCCTTAGGTTTCTCTGCCCTCCTGCTGCAGGAGAGGAGAATCTCTGTGTTTTCAGAGAGGTTCTCTGGCTTTCAAACTTAGTTTTCAATTGGAAGTTAATCAGCTTTTTTGTTTTTATCTTTTTTCTTTGAAATCAACATCTGGGAGTGAGGAGCACTGGGCAAATGCAGTGCAGGCCCAGCACCAGCTTTGGCCAACCCCCACGGGGAGCCTGGAGCGAGAATGGGAGCCTGGGACAAGAATGGCTCTTCTGAGTTGCCCAGAATTGCGGTGGCTGATGTGTCCAGGCCTTCATATTGCCATATCAATTAGTCATTTGATGTGGGTTATCTTGGGAAGGATATGACCTTGAACAGGGTTGTTCCTTGTAGGTGAGGCAATCCCTGAAGGGGCTGACTGACAGCACTCCCAGCATTTAAGGTAAGTCCTTTTTTGAAGGAGGAACTGGGTAGCACCTCAGTGTCTACCACGATTTCTCTGTATCCACCAAATGGCCAATTTGTTTTTGTTTTTTATTATCATTATTCATTCATGGATTTAAACATATATTTAGCAAACTTTCTGTTAAATTATGTGTATAGAAAAGGGCACAAATTGTAAATATACAGCTCAGTTAAATGTTCACAAAGTAAACACACCAGTGTAACCAGTATCCAGATCAAGAAATAAAACAATACTGTGAATCTAGGAGTCCTCCTCGTGTTTCCTTTCAGTCACTGTTTTCCAGGGATCTATCCTGACTTCTAAAATCATGGGTTGAATTTAGCATGGTTTTGAAATTTATGTAACATCATACAATATGTCTTGTTCTGACTTCTGTCTGTCAGTATTGTATTTGTGAAATTAAGCTCACAATTGTAAGTCATTCTCTTGCTGTATATTTTTTCATGGTATGACTATACCAGTTTTTAAAAACCATTTCTGCTATTAACATTTGGATTGTTCCAGTTGTTGGGAATTATAAAACATGCTGCTGTAAAACATTGTTGTGCATGTCTTTTGGTGAACATATATACATTTCTGTTGGGTATATATCTAGTGAAATTGCTGAATGTGTGTGTGTGTGTTCAGTTTTAGCAGATAATGCCAGTTTCCAAGGTAAGTACTGAGTTACATGCCTACTAGTAGCTCCTAAGATTTCCAGTTGCTGTAATTTGCTCCTGTTTGTAGAAGACACAGCCTTCGAGGGCTTATCACTGAGAACTGTATTTACTAAGGTCTCCACTAGCAGATTCTGAACTCTTTTGTCCTCTCGAAGCTGCAAGGCTTTCAAATTCTGCTTTGCTTTTCAGAAGTTTTTAGTTTAGCCTTTTTACCCTCTTCCACTCACTGAGGCATTTGAGATTCCCTCACGTCTTCAGTTTTGCCAATCTAGCCCTCAGTGAACACCAGAATCTCTGATGGTTTCTTCTTCCATTAGAGGTACATTGCCTGGGAAAAAAGCCTTATTTCTCAATCTGTTTTCCTGACCAGAATCTGCAAATGCCCCAGGGGAAAAGCAGCTGCAGAAGATCCCCTTACCTCATTATAGCTCACTCTTTTTGGAATCTTAGTGTTGCTAATCCCTATTCCTTCAGTAGCTCTCTGAATTCTTCAAACAGGTGATTTTTATATTTCATCTTTTGTTAGAAATTAAGTTTGTGGTGGGAGCTATTGTTTTGCAGTAAATTATTCTATCCTACATGGAAACAGTAGTATGGATTTAAATATATTTAATATGTTTCAATAAATTGCCATCCTTAAGTGTTCAAATTATTACACTTTTGGCCAGTGGGGGCCTCTTTAAAATTCATTCCTAACCATTTTTGGCTTGACCGTTATTAGTCAGTGCTGCTATCTGGTATGACAAGATGTTCCGGGGTCATTATGTCTTTTTTTTTTTTTTTTCCTCCAGACATAGAAGCAGCCATTTCCTAAAGGAGTCCAGATTCCTTTTACTGGGAAATGGTCGTTCAAGATTACAACTGAGTGAGGATTACTATGGGATTGGTCATTAGTCATTACTATGGGATTGGTCATTGTTTCTAGGCATTTTCATTGGACAGAAATAGAAATATGTTTTTTAAAGTACAAAATAAAATATCTTGACTTCATATAGATACTTCTATTTCAAATTCAAGACTACATTTCTTTACTTTACCATTACTTTTATTTCCCATGCTGAAAGTCTTGGGTTTTTAGAGGCACTAGGAGTCATAGAATTAAAATACCACAGAATTATTTAGTTCCTCTCTTTATACCATTAAATAATTAGATACATTTATACCATTAAAGAATTAGATACAGTTTTCAGTTGATTTGTTTATTTTTGATTTCTAGACTTCTTAAAATTTTAATTTTATGTTTATGTAAGTTACGTAGTTCTAAAATGAAATCTACAAAAACAATATGTATTCCATATAGAATATGGATTCTATCCTTTTCACTTCTACTTTCTTTTCATTTCCTAAAGGCAACCACTAATTTTTTTGAGCATTTCATTCTTCTACTGTTTTGTTTTGTTTCTTAATATAAGAAACATATATTTCTATCTCCTCCCTCTTCTTAGATGAATGGAACATACTGTGTATATTTTCTCCATCTTGTTTTTTTTTTAACTTAAGATGTGTCCTGGAGATTATTCTATCATTTAATGAATTTGGATTCATTTTTTGGTTTTACGTTACATTTTATACATGTCTTTTATTTAAGTGTCACTGTGTTCATGTTATTTGCTCTTTCAGCATATATAAATATATACACTTATATACATGTACACACACACACATACACACACACACACACACACACATTTTTTGAGACAGAGTCTTGCTCTGTTGCCCAGGCTGGAGTGCAGTGGGGCTTAGCTCACTGCAGCCTCTGCCCCCTGGGTTGAAGCAATTATCATGCCTCAGCCTCCCAAGTAGCTGGGATTATAGGCACGCGCCACCATGGTCAACTAATTTTTTTGTATTTTAGTAGAGATGGAGTTTCAGCATGTTGGCCAGGCTGGTCTCGATTGCCTGCCTTGGCCTCAGCATATATTTTTGTATTTAGAAAGATTTATTCAGACCAGCGTTCATACTGTGTAATGATAAGGAATTTATTGTAGAAATTAGATTGTATACAGTTTTGAGGGGACTAAGTGAGGTGAGTATCTGGAATGGGGAATTGGAGGATCAGAGGAGTCCACTAACCAGATCGTCCAAATCAATGACAATGGGTAGATAAGTTGGAGCTGTTGGGGAAATCTGAGAAGTCAAATATATCCAGCCACTGAAGTGAGATTATGAAGGAGGAGCTTGAGGAGGGCACTGTGGGAAGCTCTTGCCATGTAAGGTTTGTCTTACAAAGCCCTGTAGGTTTGCACCCAAGCATCTGGTGGTAGGTTTGGGCTAGTATTGGTCAGCAAAGTGACCACTGGTCCAAAGAAAGAGCTGGACATGGAGTGAAAGAGAGAGAGAGTAAAAGCTGGAACTTTCTGGGTGCCTCTGTATCTGTCTCTCATTGTATGTTACTGTGAAACCTTCAGAATAATAGCTGCTGCTTCGCTTCCACATTTCAAACAAATTTTATACAGGTCGAGTATCCCGTATCTGAAATGCTTGGGACCAGAAGTGTTTTGGATTTCACATATTTTTGGGTTCTAGAATATTTGCCTTTTACTCACCGTGATCATCCCTAATCTGAAATGAGCATTTCCTTTGAGAGTCATGTTGTTGATCAACAAGTTTGGATTTTAGAGTGTTGTAGGTTTCAGATTTTTCAATTAGGGATAGACAGCCTGTACAAATTACCCTTTAGACCAACTCTAACCAGAACCATATAGTGAGTGGGATCTGGGAAAGTAGTTCCCAGCTTAACAGTTAACACACCACGCACCACCAGTACAATTTGTGTTTTTGTTCTGGTGGTTACCATTATATTAATACCTTTATATGGTATTCTAATTTCCTTCTCTTTTGGGGTGGAGGGGTATTATGTGTTGGTTTTTTACTCTGAGCAATATTGAAATGAACTAGAAACCTCCTTTCCTCATCTCCTTTTTCCCTAGCATTTTACTCTCAGTTAATAACAAGACAATCAAGAAACATATTCTACTATTTATATGCTCTCACCACCCTCCCTCTCCTCATTTTGATAATTGTATTGTATCTATATTATCAAGTACATAAAGCAGTCACCTAATATACTTTCTCCCTTATTGCCACCATTCTCAGTTCTTTTAGAAAACACAGTGATGCTCCGGCTGGGCACGGTGGCTCACGCCTGTAATCCCAGCACTTTGGGAGGCCGAGGTGGGTGGATTACCTGAGGTCAGGAGTTCAAGACCAGCCTGACCAACATGGTGAAACCCCGTCTCTACTAAAAATACAAAAAAATTAGCCAGGCAATGGTGGTGCATGCCTTTAATCCCAGCTACTAGGGAGGCTGAGGCAGGGGAATCGCTTCAACCTTGGAAGCAGAGGTTATGGTGAGCTGAGATTACGCCACTGCACTCCAGCCTGGGTGACAGAGCAAGGCTCTGTCTCAAAAAAAAAATAAATAAATAAATAAAAATACAGTGATGCTCCACATAATGACATTTTGGTCAGTGATGGACTGCATATGTAATGGGAGTCCCTCAGTATTATAATATGGTATCATTACCTTTTCTATGTTTAGATACACAAACACCATGTGTTCAAGTTGCCAAGAGTATTCAGTACAATAACATGCTGTACAGTTTTGTACCCTGTATACCATATAGCCTAGAGGTGTGGCAGGCTATACTATCTAGGATTGTATAAGTACACTCTGTGATGTTCACATGACAGTGGAATCATGTAAGGACACATTTCTCAGAACATACCCCATCACTAAATATATTTAATGATTCCTATTAATGTGGATGTCTTTCCAATTATTCTGGTCATCTGAAGCATATTCTCTAGTATATCCTCCAGGAAAAGGAAAAGGGAACAAAATTTCCAGGGTTCTTGCCGTTTAGCACAGTTTGTCATTGCTATAAAATTGTCTCTCAGTATCTGGGACATTGGTTCCAGGAACCTCCATGGACGGTGAAATCTGTAGATGCTCAAGTCCCTGATATGAAATGGTGTGGTATTTGCATATAGCCTACACACATCCTCCTGTGTACTTTAAATCATCCCTTGATTACTGATAATACTTAATACAATGTAATACTATATAAATAGTTGTTATACACTATTATTTAGGGAATAATGACGAAAAGTCTGTACCTGTTCAGTACAGACATACTAAAATTTATTTTTTGATCTGCAGTTTGTTGAATGCATAGATGGAGAACTCATGGATTCAGAGGGCTGACTGTATTTGAATTCAGTTTGGCTAGATATAAAATCCTTGGTTTATGTTTTCTTCTTTTTTTAATTATACTTTAAGTTCTAGGGTACATGTGCACAATGTGCAGGTTTGTTACATATGTATACATGTGCCATGTTGGTGTGCTGCACCCATTAACTCGTCATTTACATTAGGTATATCTCCTAATGCTATTCCTCCCCCCTCCCCCTACCCCACGACAGGCCCCGGTGTGTGATGTTCCCCTTCCTGTGTGGTTTATGTTTTCTTTAAATATCTTAAATTTATTTTACTTTATTGTTTTCTGACATAAAATTTTGTCAAAGTCTGATGAGAGTCTAATTTTTGGGTTTTTTTTGTATAAATAATGTCCTCTTTCTGCCTGTAAGTTCAAAAGATTTTTTTTTTCTTGTTCACGGAAGTTCAAAATATGTTAAGGTATTGGTCATTCTGGGTCACTTTTCCAGGTGTGTGGTATGCACATTAAAGATACAGTTTCAAGTTTTTAAAAATTTCAATAATAATTTCAGCAAAGTTTTCTTGAATTCTAGTTTCTAATATCCACTTTATTCCATTGGTTTGGTTTCTTTCTTTGGTGACTCCTGTTATATGTATGTTGAATCTTCTTTTTCTATCTTTTTTTGTCACTTTATTGTAAATTTTTATTATCTCGTATGTAATTTCTTTTTTATATTACAACTTTCCTCCTTAGTCCCCCCTTTTTTTTCAACATTTGTTTACTCTTAAAGCATTATCTTCTGTGTTAATTTACTCTTATGTATCTTCTGGTTAGTTTTCATTTCTGAAATGATTTATCTTCTAATTCTTTCTTGAGTTCTGTCAACTTATTTCTATCTGTAATTCTTATTTGTGTTATTCCACATCTTTTGTCATTTTCTTAATTTCTCTTGGCTCACTTTGAAATAATAATTTACAGTTTTCATCTGTTGGTGGATATGTCTTTTTGGAAACTTTGATTTTCTGTTGTTTAGACCCTTATTTTTATGTTTTTCTGTTTCTTACTCCTTTTTCTTAATAATAACTTTACATATTATTTGACCATAGAACTTTTCTGTTGGCTTATTTTTATGTGAAATTAATTTTTCTGAATTGGTAGGAGGGATTTGTAGGCCAGGATAGCTTTGTAGCTTTATGTCTCTAGAGCTTATTCTTTTTTTACTTTCATGAAATAAAAAAAAAATGGTCTCATTCTTTCAGAGATCTCTTGTTCATCTCTCTCTTTTTCATTTTTATTTGGACCTTTTTCCTTTTCTCCCTTTACCCCTGTTTTCAGTTTGGAGTTCATTCTCAGCAGTTTCTTCTCAGTGTGGGCTAGAACTGTGCTGTCCAGTCAGATCTAATAATTACATGTGTGGCTACTTAAAGCTAAATTTAAATAAACTTTATTTAATAATAACTTAAATAAACTTTAAACTTTTGATTTCTTGTCTATACCAGCTATGTTACAAGTGGTTAATAGCTACATGTGACGACTAGTGGCTGTTGTATTGGGCATTGCCCATGTAGAGCACTATCATTACCACAGCAAATCCTATTAGACAGTGATGCTTTTGAGTGTGCTCCATTCTCTTGAGACTTTTATCATAGGCCTTTTTCATTCATCTGCAAATTGCAATGAGCATAACTACCCTCTGTTTTGGCTAATATTCCTAAATTGGGCTGCTGTGCTTTTTATTAAGGATGCAGTACATTGGGAATCTCCTCTTGTCAGATCCATTAGACATTCTCCTTCCACCTGCTTTCTCTTGCATAGATGCTTATACCACATTAGTATTTTTGTTTTTTGTTTTCCAGACACAGGATCTCGCTCTGTTGCCCAGGCTGGAGTGCAGTGGCTAGATCACAGCAACTTTCTGGGCTCAAGCAGTCCTCCTGCCTCAGCCTCTTGAGTAGCTGGATTACAGGCACACACTACCAAGCCTAGATTTTTTTTTTTTTTTTTTAAAGTAAAGATGAGGTCTCACTCTGTTGCCCAGGCTGGTCTTGAACTCCTGGACTCAAGCAGTCCTCCTGCCTCAGCCTCTCAAAGTGCTGGGATTACAGGCATGAGCCATTGCGCATGTCCCCAACCAGTTTTGTAACTATAAATGGTTTGTTTCTATTTGTTCACTTCTCTGGGTTTGGGAATGAGGGACCTTGTCCCTTCATTTTCATGTAGATATTCATCAGTTTGTGTTTTTACTAGAGAAGTTCTAGTTTCTTTGATTTTTTTTTTTTTTTTTTTTTTTTTTGAGACAGAGTCTCTGTTGCCTAGGCTGGAGTGCAGTGGTGCGATCTCAGCTCACTGCAGCCTCCACCTGCTGTTCAAGCCATTCTCGTGCCTCAGCCTCCCTAGTAGCTGGGATTACAGGCATGTGCCACCACGCTCGGCTAACTTTTTGTATTTTTAGTAGAGACAGGGTTTCACCATGTTGGCCAGGCTGGTCTTGAACTTTTGACCTCAAGTGATCCACCTGCCTTGGTCTCCCAAAGTTCTGGGATTACAAATGTGAGCCACCGCACCTGGCCATTTCTCTGATTTTTATGGGATACTTAGGGAGATTCACCAGCTGCATTTTATGAAACCCTAGTTCAAGAAACATACTGGAAAAGGAGATATGGTCACAAAGAATAGGAGATGTTTCTAAGGGAAATAATAAATTAAAATGAAAGTTACAGTGACTTGTGCTCACTGAATCTAAAACCCAGCTGATTAAAAATTTGGCAAAATAAAATTAAAAAGGTTATCTGTGCTCGTAAACAAAAGTCCCATTTTTGGCCTTTCAGGTTTTTTTCCTCCATAATCTTTATAATTAACATTACGAAGTTCTGTAGTTTCTGTTCTGCCCCCTCCTTTACACTCTAAAAATGCTGCCCCACCCCGCCAATTTCATTTAGTATTTCCTTTTTTTTTTTTTTTTTTTTTTATTTGAGATGGAGTCTCGCCCGATCGCCAGGCTGGAGTGCAGTGGCGTAATCTCGGCTCACTGCAATCTCTGCCTCCTGGGTTCATGCCATTCTCCTGCCTCAGCCTCCCGAGTAGCTTGGATTACAGGCACGTGGCACTACACCCAGCTAATTTTTGTATTTTTAGTAGAGTCTGGGTTCACCATGTTGGCCAGGTTGGTCTCAATCTCCTGACCTCGTGGTCTGCCTGACTTGGCCTCCGAAAGTGCTGGGATGAGCCACCGTGCCCAGCCTATTTAGTATTTCTTTACTATCAAAATAATCGTCCATTATTAACTGATTTAGCAAACTTGGGCATGCCCCTCGGTCTCTTTCCACCTTTAGTTGTACTATGTTAAAAATGAGAAAGTTATATTCAGGTTTGTTTTTTTCACAGAGGAACATTGCTAGGTTTCTCTGTTAGCATTAGCAGGGTTTAATATTAACAGTAAGTATGTCCATGATGCTTTAAATACAGAATGCTATTTTTGAGCAGAGTAGAGATGAACTTCTAGACAGTGGAACTTAACTCATTCACAGAGAAATGTAAATGTGGTCTTCTCATAGAATATTTTTTCTCATGGGATTTGTCTGCTTGTGTTCTGTTATCCCTTCAATTGTGTAGCTGAGGGTGCTTATCTTACTGAGTGAGTCTTACTGTTTTTTCCCCAGGTTTTATAGTTTGTTCTTGCTTCTGAACAATCAGCAGTTGTTTGCCATTATTGACAAGAAGTCTAGGGCATAGATTTTCTTGATCTGTTTTTCTTTTAATGTTTGAGTTCAATGGATAAGGGAAACGGTTGTATGCATTTTATTGCAGACATTCTCTGAAATAATTTTTAGCCACAAGCAAATAGCTCTGTTTCTGTGAGTCATCATTTCTTCTTATATAGTGCTGGATAAAGAATTCTATTTTGTAGATAGAGATTTATGACTTCCAGAAAGAAAGCTGCAAAAATGGAAGTTTCCAAAGAATTTAAGATTTGCTATAATAAATGCTATCATATATTGGTGTTTGAGATGCAAATGTACATATCTGTGTATCATATATTGGAGGTTGATTGAAAATCGGAGTTTGAGATGCAAGTATAGGTATCTGTGGTTGATGCAGTTTTCCTAAAACGTCATGATTTTCAATGGCAAGTAAGTTATTTATGGTCGTTTTTAAGGATAAGCTGTTAACGTGTTTTTTTTTTCTTTTTTTTTCAGCTTCCAATAAAAACAGGACAGCAGAACACACATACCAAAGTCAGTACTGAGCACAACAAGGAATGTCTAATCAATATTTCCAAATACAAGTTTTCTTTGGTTATAAGCGGCCTCACTACTATTTTAAAGAATGTTAACAATATGGTGAGTATTTGGGTTACTGTGTTTTGGGGAATTTGCTTTCTTTTCTTTTTGATTAAAAAGTTTAGAACAGCATATTTTGAAGTATGGAAAGTGATTTTCTGTGGACTTTGGATATAACCATTAATCTTATTTTGTTTACGAGCACAGATAACCTTTTAATTTTATTTTGTCAAATTTTTAATCAGCTGGGTTTTAGATTCAGTGAGCACAAGTAACTGTAACTTTCATTTTAATTTATTATTTCCCTTAGAAACATCTCCTATCTTTTGTGACCATGTCTCCTTTTCCAGTATGTTTCTTGAATTAGGATTTCATAGAGCTTTTGTGGCCTACACGAATTGACCACAGTAATCCATTACACATATTTTTCTTTAGCATCTTGTTTGAATTTACTTACGGTTGTCCCAGCCCTAAGTAGATGATAAAATATGATCTCATAGTCCTAAAATGTGGATTGATTTTTTTATGAAGATATGTGTTTTTTCTTCCTTCTGTAACCTGTGACAGATTCTGTAGTAGTTACCCTGTTGTTGAAACAGTTTTTCTCAAATACCAGTTTCATCAAATAATTCCACTGTTAAAAGCTCATAATTTCTTTCTTCTTCCCATTTTCTAAAATCGATTGACGTTTCCTAGACTTCAGAGTACTCCAGCTGTCCTCCCTCTGTACCTTTGAACATATAACATCTTTTGTCTTTCTCAAGTGATCCCTTCCTCTCTCTAAATTCCTATTTAACATCTCCATTCTAAGCTGTTTCAAACTAACATACTCAGTTCATGGCAACTGATCTGGATTTTTCTTGATTAACTCTGAACTCTCTGCTGGTGTTTAGCATTTATTTATTTATTTATGAATGAATAAATGAATGAATGAATGAATGACAGGGTCTCATTCTGTCACCCAGGCTGGAGTGCAGTGGCGCAATCTCGGCTTACTGTAACCTCCCCCTTCCCAGTTCAAGTGATTTTGCTGCCTCAGGCTCCCCAGTAGCTGGAATTACAGGCATGTGCCACCATGCTCGGCTAATTTTTTTGTATTTTTAGTAGAGACGAGGTTTCACTATTTTGGCCAGGCTGGTCTCAAACTCCTGACATTAGGTGATCCGCCTGCCTCGGCCTCCCAAAGTGCTGAGATTACAGGTGTGAGCCACCGCGCCCAGCCTGCATTTATAATCCCAGTTTGTATTTGTTTGTATTGAGTTGTGAAACAACTTCTGGTTATAGATTGTGAAGATTGTTCCCCCTTCCTTTTTTTTGAGATGGTCCTTAGGTTTATTAGATAATATTCTAGTATGACATTGAAAAGACATGAAGTTACCTTTTTGCCTTATTCCCATATTTTAGATAATTTTTCTCTTGTTCTATTTTATTTTTAACTGGCATACAATAATTGTACATGTTTATGGGTACATATTGATGTTTCAATACATATAATACATAGTGATCCCACTAGGGTAATTAGCATATCCATCATCTCAATATTTATCATTTCTTTGTGTTGGGAATATTGAATATTCTCTTGTTATTTGAAACTATATAATGTTAACTGTAGGCCAGGCATGGTGGCTCACGCCTGTAATCCCAGCACTTTGGGAGGCCAAGACGGGCGGATCACGAGGTCAGGAGATCAAGACCATCCTGTCTAACATGGTGAAACCCCGTCTCTACTAAAAAAAAAAAAAAAAAAAACTTAGCGGGGTGTGGCGGCATGTGCCTGTAGTCCCAGCTACTCAGGAGGCTGAGACAGGAGAATGGCGTGAACCCGGGAGGCGGAGCTTGTAGTGAGCCAGGATGCGCCACTGCACTCCAGCCTGGGTGACAGAGTGAGACTCCGTCTCAAAAAAAAAAAGTTAACTATATAATGTTAACATAGTCATTCTACAGTAGTACAGAACACTAAGTCTTATTCTTCCTATAAAGCTATATTTCTGTATCCTTTAACAAATCTCTACCCACCCCGATTCTCCCTACCCGACCCTTCTTACCTCTAGTGTCCTCTCTTCTACTTTTTACTCTTTTTAGCTTCCACATATGAGTGAGAGCATGTGGTGTTTAACTTTTTGTTCGCATCATCCTTGGTGTGTTTCCTTTTAAGAAAGTTGCTTACACAATACCCTAAACTTACAAAACTAATAAACTGGAGGTGTAGAAAATCATTTACCTTCTTTATGGAAAAAATTAGTATTTTCCCCCCAAAAGCAGGACCATTTATAAATAGGTAAAGAGATTTACGGAAAGACATTTAACATTTTTTGTAGCTCCTCTGTTGCAGTGTGTGGGGCACAGTTTAGTATTTGCACATATGAATATGTGGCTGTGTTCCCAGTTATATTGAAATATTTTAATATTTGGGACCCTCTTTTCAAAACAAAACAGCATTGTTATATTGGCGTTCATTTAGTGCTTATTAAATAAGTTTTCAAAACCATAGTCTCTTGTTAATAAATACATATGTAGTATTCATTTTGAGGATAGTGAGTACTTAAAATTCACTGTGGTGCTATAGCATGTTTTTGCTATAAAAATTAAGACTTTGATCATTTCGTGGCATAAAAGTATAGTTAAATCCCCAATTCAAGATTCTGGTACAGGTCTATATGTGTGTCTAAATCCTACATATTTTTAAAGCATGAAGCAAAACAGCATCTTTTACTGTTACAAGGTTAATGGCAGACTCTAATAAATGCCATTTCTGTTTGCCTTAGACTTTAGTTTTTATGAGGATTAGGATAAAATCAGAAATAATATATTTAAGTATAGTATAATCTGGGAGGTAAAATGGAAGACTATTGTTGATCTTTTAGTCTTTCACTTTTCAGATGTGTGTTGATTGGTAGCAGAAAGTGAAACTAACTTTTATGTTCTGAATATCTTTTCTGTTAGAGAATATTTGGAGAAGCTGCTGAAAAAAATTTATATCTCTCTCAGTTGATTATATTGGATACACTGGAAAAATGTCTTGCTGGGGTAAGTAAATTGATCTTAAGTAGGCAGGCTTTGTGAATTTGATCTTGAGAATGATCTTATGTCCCAAAGTACAGATGTGGACCAAGAGGACAGTCCTATGGACTTTTGTCTGAGACATATAAATATGAGTTTTGTTAATATAGCTGACCTGGTGACAGACAATTTTTCATGAGAAAATTTTCTCATCTTTTGTAAATTAAACAGATATTAAGTTTACTTATAAAATGTTATGTTTCAGCCACGTATCTGTCTCTCAGGTTTTTAGGAAAATATTTTATGAAGAGATCACTATTTGATTTAACGGATCTCTCAGAGAGTTGTGGGAGAGTGCGATTCAGAAGTCCAAGAGTAATCTTGTATTTCCTCCTATATGAATATGATTTTAATATTCTACTTTTGAAATTTATGTAAATGAGAACTTAAAAATTAAACCTATTAAGGATAGATGTTACCTTGAGAACACTTGTTTTATGTAGACACACAAATATGCGATAGGTATGTGGAGGAGGAGAGTACCAAACAATTATTTCTCTGGTTTCCTGTAAGTTGTTACCACAGTGTATTTCAACCATGACTTAATTTGAACTTTTTCAAGAGTATTTCTATTGTGTAAAGAAAGTATTTCTATACATCATTATCCTTAATTCTTCCTGGAACATGGTAAGAGTTTATATAAATATATAAATTAAATACCTCTGTTTTAATGATCTGCCTAATCCATGTGTATTGAAATTAACTCATTTCTTATGTTCTCTCTTCCTTTGGCTCAGAATTCAGAATTTTGTTTTGATTCAGAATTGCTTCCCTCTTCACATATGTTGCAGTTCTCTATAGTGAAACTAGTTGAAAGAGACCTTAATATATGAGGACTGATAGTGTGGTTGAGAAGTGTTGGTGGAAGCATTGGGGTAGGGCATTGAAAAAAAAATTATATTGACACAACTGTGTATCCCTAGGGAAGGCTGTAAGCGAAAAAATGTAAGCATAATATGTATATATATTTTTCTTTTGAGACAGAGTCTCACTCTGCGGCACAGGCTGAAGTGCAGTGGCACCCTCTCGGCTCATTGCAACCTCCACTTCCCGGGTTCAAGCTATTCTCATGCCTCAGCCTCCCAAGTAGCTGGGATTACAGGCATGTACCACCATGCTCAGCTATTTTTTTTGTATTTTCATAAGCCATGGGGGTTCACTATGTTGGTCAGGCTAGTTTTGAACTCCTATCCTCAAGTGATCCGCCCATTTTAGCCTCCCAAACTCCTGGGATTACAGATGTGAACCACTGTGCCTGCCCTAAGCATAATATTTTAAATTTTCTTATTGACCGTTGACCATATTCCAAAATTGTGGAGACAGTGTTTATAAGTTTTCTACTTAAAATCGAAGGTGAGCTAGTTGTTTTAGCATGGTATTTTCCGTTAACTTGTGATATGCTATTGTTCATGTGTAAAATGGAGTGAAAGAGCAAAAGAGCTGTTACATAGGATGATGGAACTGGGAAGATGGGCAAATTTTAAACTTTTCTTGAATCAGTTTTTTCCAGTGGTCTTATTACTTTGACTGCAAATTACCAGTATATCAGCCACACCCATGACTGAATGGTGGGGCGTGGGGTCATATATTGCCTTGTTCAGTTTCACAGCTTTTCTCCATTAACATTTGTAATTGAGAGGTAATAATGAATGTATTTTGGAGAATGATTACCGATATTATTGGCCTCTGTTTGATTTAATACTCTTTGAAGATAGCCTAATTGAAATGCTAATAAGTGGGCCTAGTATAACTTATGTAATGCATAAAATGTATATTATCTTGCCGTGCTCTACTGTTGAAAAATGTGTATGCTTTTTCATTAAATTTACTATTTAAAAAGTAATGCTATTTATATTATTGAACAATTGTTTTATTTCCTTCAGTGATTTTACAGATGTTTCTTGATTCTTACTTTTAAATCAAAGTAAATTGAGGCAGTTTAAGAAGAACGGAGCTCACAAGTATACGTTTGTTATACATAGTTGGAATATTTAAGTGAAAGAAAAATACTTACCAATATGTTATGAGTGCAATTTTGTAGAATTTGAGGAATCTTAAGTATTTTTGTTCCTGTGAATATGACTATTATTTAAAAGATTTAATACTTCTTAGATTTTTATTTGTTAGAGTTAACATCTGTATTGTTTGGTTAGCCTATAAACAAGAAATAGGCATTGTAATGTGAATTCACAGGTTTTTGTGAAGTCTGTTTATGTACTGTCCCTATGTTTCAGTGTATTTGCATCTGAGAGTGCTTGGATTGCAGTTACAGAATTGAGCGTAGCATACAATTGTACACATTTTTGTTCTTTGCCATCTTGCTCAGTGTTATTAAAATTCTTATCCGCATGTAGTTATCAAGACTGTTAGGTGAAATAGTAATGTGGAACAGCATACCTACAGGATAGCTTATCCATTGATTGTGTGTTAATTGTAAAGTATATATTTACAAAGTAGAGATTTCACTGTTAACACCGAAGTTATCAAACTTGGTGTCAATAACAGGACCACCTGGCCTTATGTTCTCATGGTGTGATGTAATATAACCTATAGTGAATCCCCTAAACTGTTTAACCTCAATCTAATCAGACCATTAGGTTTAAATTTTAGCTTACAGAAAATATACAGGCCGGGCACCATGGCTCACGCCTGGAATCCCAGCACTTTGGGAGATCGAGACAGGCGGAGAGCTTGAGGTCAGGAATCCAAGACCAGCCTGGCCAACATGGCAAAACCCCATATCTGCTAAAAATACAAAAATTAGCCAGATGTGGTGGCACATGTCTGTAGTCCCAGCTACTTGGGAGGCTGAGGCAGGAGAACCACTTGAAACCAGGAGGCAGAGGTTGGAGTGAGCCAAGATTGCGCCACTGCACTCCAGCCTGGGCCACAGAGCGAGACTCCATCTCAAAAAAAAAAAAAAAAAAAAAAGAACGAAAATATACAATACAGTAACTAGAAGAGCAAATCAACCTATGTCACTGGAAAATAATTAAATCAAGGATATGGAACATTCTGTAAGGCAGCTGGCCCACTTAAAGTCATGGGAAATAAGAGTGGTGAATATGGGCCAGGCGTAGTGGCTCACGCCTGTAATCCCAGCACTTTGGGAGGCCGAGGAGGGCGGATCACTTGAGGTCAGGAGTTCGAGACCAGCCTAGCCAACATGGCAAAACCCCGTCTCTACTAAAAATACAAAAATTAGCTGGGCATGGTGGCGGGCGCCTGTAATCCCAGCTATTAGGGAGGCTGAGGCAGGAGAATTGCTTTAACCCTGGAGGTGGAAGTTGCAGTGAGCTGAGATTGCGCCCTTGCATAGAATAGTGAAACTAAGGAAACATCATGTTGTAATCGGTGAACTTTTTTGGATCCTTATTGAATAAAAATGCCTATGAAAGACATTTTGGGGGCAGTGGTGAAATTTGAATTCAGACTTGGTATTAGATGATACAAGGGAATTGTTTATTTTTCCTTGGTGTGTTAATTGTATTGAAGTTACATTAGAGAAAATTCTTTTAAGAGATGCCAAGGCACATGGGGTGAAGTATTCTATTTATAATTTACTTTGAAAAGATTTCAACCAAAATAAAATTACTTTGAGTAGGTAGTGTCTGTTTTGGTCAGTCTGCACAAAAGCAAGTGTGATGGCTCACCCAGGAATTTACTTAAATGTCAAGACAGATGACACAATGCACTCATCAATCAATATGAATTAAGTCGATTCTGTAATTGTAGAACTCACAGCAAACTGGGGATTCCCAGGGAAGGGCTCGTTTGGTGAACAAGAGAGCAAGCAGGAATGGGAGGACTGGTAAGGATGGCAGGGGGATTGAACTTTAATTGTGATTATGGGGTCAGAGATGGAACCATCCTCTTTATTAAACTATCTATAGACAGATGTAGCAAATATGATGAAACGTTAACAGTTGTTAAATCTAGGTGGTGTGTATGTAAGGTGTTCATTATTTTTGTTCTGTGTGTGTGTTTGAAAATTTTCATAATAGAAAATGTTTACAGGTAAAATTAAAGTTTAGAATAATGTGATTATTTCTATTTTAGCAACCAAAGGACACAATGAGATTAGATGAAACGATGCTGGTCAAACAGTTGCTGCCAGAAATCTGCCATTTTCTTCACACCTGTCGTGAAGGAAACCAGCATGCAGCTGAACTTCGGAATTCTGCCTCTGGGGTTTTATTTTCTCTCAGCTGCAACAACTTCAATGCAGTCTTTAGTCGCATTTCTACCAGGTTAGTGTGTAAATCCACATGGGACTACTGAAGTAATATGAATATTAGAAGTTTTGTTTTTTGTCTACATAAAAATAAAAAGTTAATGGAAATGAGGTTTTTTTGTTTTTGAGACAAGTTCTTTTGCCCCTCACAGCAGCTTTGACCTCCCAGGCTTAGGTGATCCTCCTACCTCAGCCTCCAGAGAAATGAGTTTGTCTGGGCTTGCGTAGAAATTTTATGCATTAATATCTTTGACATTTTAATTGCGTAATATTGTGATATTGATATGTGCAATTAAATAAGAGCACTGTTATGAATGTGAAAGTCTAAATTTCAGATAAAAATATCTGCCGTGAGCAGGCTTTAAAAAACAATACTAGGTATGAACTTTTGGTTTGGCTTTTTAAACATATTATCCCTTTAAATGAAACTACCCAATTAGATGGAATAATTAATGAGAGTAGTCAGAATTCAAATACTTTCACAACTCTACCCTTTATCACAAGATTTTAGGTTACCAAAAAACAAAACAAAAACAAAAACAAAAAAACCTAAGTGATGTGAAAACACAAGGAGGTGAATAATTGCAAAGTAGAATTCTCCAGAAAGTGGACTACATTTTAAATGTATGTAAAATACTGCCATTTATTGAGTATTTATAGCATTTCCTTTGCTGTCTCATCCTCACAGTAACCTTGATGATACTTCCCTCATTTTACAGGTGAGCAAACTAATACTCAAAAAAGTTCAGGTGATGTGCCAAATAATGGAGGACCCAAAATTTCTAAGTCAGGCTGGCTTCAGAATTTATATTAGTTTCACTATACCAGATTGCTTCCCTATCTATTTTAGCCACATTTTGATGAAATCTGTTTTATAAAATATACTTCTGTTTTTAAAGATGTATCAAAAATATAATTTAAGCTTTTATTGATGACTCAAAATCATCCTGAGCATTAGTTGTGATATGCTACCTACAGGTGGAGAAATTAGTATAGGTAGTGCTCTATGGGATAGAATTATAAGTGACAGTAGCAAGTAGCTGCAAATTGTTGTTATGCACATGATTTGCCTTTCTAAGGCAAGTAAAGTCAGATGGGTTATTAACTTAATTAGAAACTATAGCACAAATTATTTAGTGATTCGTGAATCGAAGACTAATACCGAATAGAGAAAAACAATCCTCTTTGTTGGTGCCTGCATCTTTGGCTCGTCAGTGTTGTACGAACAGTGGACTTTGATTATTCAGATTTACTGATTCCTTTGTTGTTTTCCAGCAGGTGTGAAAGACAACATACATCACCATTTGAGAATTTGTGTTACGGTTTTTTGGGGGAATTGATTAACTTCAGAGTCCTGCAATCTTTTTAATCAACAATGACATTTCTATAATTAAGATCCTAGGCAGCAATATTTTTCAACCTCAATGCAATTCTTGATCCAAAGAAAATTAAAGTTTTATTTAATGGTATATTATTGATAATCTTGGGTAATATTTACATGATAGAAAAATGTTTTCATGAAATCTTTTGAGCAGTAACGTTTTATATTATGAATAATAATACAGTGGTTGAGTCAGCAAGGTAACAAACACCTAGAGAGTAGGAGGGTGGAAAATTGTATTTAATAAAAAACGCAAACCCTTTTCATTTAGGTGACTGCTAGGCCGGCCTTACTATTTGAAACACCTGTTAAATTAAAGGTAGAAAGTGGTACAAAAAAACCCAAATGTCTTGTAGTCTATCAATGCATGAACTGCCTTATAGAACACAACAAATGTGCCACCTTGGAAAATTCTAGAAAATTTCTAGTCACCAAAGGTTTTACTTTATGGGATTTTGCAGCATTAGCACATGTAAAAATAAGCAACTTTTGTTTATTTCCTGAATCTAGTTCACTGTTGCCAGAATAGAAACCAAGTGTCTAAAATTTTATTAGCTTTCAGAGGACAGACCACTCAGAAATGGCATCTGTGAAATAACATTGTTTCAGACAACTGCATTTTCAGTTCCATTTAGCTTGTGTCAGAAATAGGAGCTGATCTTACTGAAGGATCACTCACCTAAAAGACCATTATGATGGTTTAGTTTAGGTTGGAACATCTTATGCTGTCATCGTCATAGTATTAGGTGACTTAAAATATGTGTGTGGCTTGAATGGTAGTTCTTTCTAAAGATTGATCTTATGTTTTATATATAATAGATGAATCAGTATCATGAAGATGTTTCGTGTTTGTCCATTCTCCCCGTCAATGTTTCTCCTTTAAGATTAAGATTTGGTTTTTATATTTCTGACCTTTACTTTTCTTTAGGGGAAGATAGGCTATAGATTTATTTATTTTATGTTTTTGAGACACAGTCTCTCTCTGTCACCTAGTCTGGAGTGCAGTGATGTGAACATGTCTCACTGCAGCCTCGACCTCCTGGGCTCAAGAGATCCTCCCACCTCAGCCTCTTGAGTAGCTGGGACTACAGGCACGTGCCACCATGCCCGGCTAGTTTCTTTAATTTTTTTGTAGAGACGGGGTCTTGCCATGTTGCCCAGGCTTGTCTTGAACCCCTGGGCTCAAGGGATCCTCCTGCCTTGGCCTCCCAAAGTGTTGGGATTACAGGATGTGAGCTACCATGCCTGGCTGGCTATAAATCTTAAGATAGCTTTATTTTTCTCTGGGAGTATACCATTTTCTGTGGCTTATAGTATTTATGTAGCGGAGTAACTGCTTTCTCCACAGAATTACTCCACAAATGCAGTTGATCTAGTTGTTTTGTAGTGAGAAGGTGCTTCAGAATATCTCATTTGATATACCACCAGAAGCAGAAAACTCAATGACTTTAAAAGTCATTTGGTTCTTTACAGTTTACTATTTGGTTCCATACAAATCTGTTCGTTATGGTTTCTTACTCTTTTTTTAAAAATAGTTTTCAGTTTTTTTATATGTCTCTGATCATTTAAAACGTATTTTACGTTCTCTTTAGTATTGTTTAATATTGATTTGTTTGTGCTGATTCATTCATAGTGAATTGTTTCATCTCAGTTTTGGAATCCTTGATTGCAAAGTTATCTTTAGTGTGGCCTGTATTTTCTTTGAGAATCCTTGTAGCCTTGGGCTGAGGGAGTGTTCTAGTGATGGTTTTGCATTTGCATTTGCCAGGTGCCCAGTTCTGGAGCTATTTTTTTCTTAATTTCTCAGTCCCAGCCTGTATGGGCAGTATAAATTTGAACCCTAAACTCTTAGAAGGTAAACAGCTCTAGGTGACTTTTTTCACTTTATCCAAAGTTTAGGCAGAGCAGTTAAGCTTCTTTGTGCTGGTAGGTTTTTTTCTTTTTTTCTTTTTGTGGGGAGTGGGGGCGGCAGGGGGAGTGCATTGTTCTTTCTAGTTCATGTTTTATGCAGGGCCCAAGTTAGAATCCTGAATTATTAGGGTACAAGGCGTTTATATCCAGTCTCCATGTGGATGTTAAGCCCCAAGCTCCTAGGTTAAGGAGATCAAAAACCTCACTCATCTTTCCTTTGTTGCAGGGCTGGGTCATGTACTTGTGCACTTAACTCTCTGGTTTTCAGTTTTCTTCTTCTTTTCTGGACCTATACATTTAAAATATCTTTCAGTATGCCTAGACTTTCTAGCTGTTTTAGTGATAGGTTTTCTACTGTTCATTTCTTTTGCTCAGACTACGCTTTATTTGATTTCTCTGCTTCGGAAATGATGTTTAACCTTCACAAAATACCTGCTCTCTATAAGGGTACCAGACTATAAAAGGGACAAAATTTTTCTCCCATTTTTCACAAACAACCACAAGAGTCAACTTTTCAGAAGTTGGTATTGCTGATCTATGATGTTGTGTTTTCTGAGGAGCCGTACTCCATATTTCTACGCTCTTTGCAGCAGCTGTGGAATTTTTAGCATTGAGGACAACCTCATTCCCAGCTTGAAATGCTGAGCTTTTCTTACCCTGATGATAGGAAGAGAGTTCATGTAAGTGCTTAGAATAGTTGTACTGTTAGCTGTAGTCTAATTAAAGCTAAAGTGAGTGAAACGAGAATTTGAGAAGGAAGAATAGGATTGATTACATTCTTATCAACTGAAGGTTTAGTGTGATGATTAATAACTCCTTTGCAAATTGCACTAAATGATTGAAATTCAAGTTAATACATATAAATTATAAGACCATATAGTATTTGTGCCTTTTCACCATATCTCTATTGCTGCATTTATAAAAGTTTACAATTTAATTGTGCTGCTTATATTTTTTATGTCTATTAATATGAATAATGAGTATGCCTCATTAGGTAGCATGATTTAATAGATTAGCAATACCAACTTTTGAAAATCTGAGTGCTGTGGTTGTTGGTGTAAAATGGAAGAAAAGTTTAATGCCTTTTATTAACATTTAGGCTAAGTGAATTTCTTTTATCAGTTTAAAAATATCTACATATTTGTTAAGTGTTAAATGTTTCTACGTTTGTGATAACTTCATATTCAACATAGGAGAAGCTGGGGTTTAAACAGATATTCCTGTCCTTATAAGCTTATGTTCTGTGAAGTAGGGATATTAAGCAAATAATTACATAAATACATGTACAAACTGTGAAAAGTGCAATGAAAAAAGGCTTACTCGGTTTTCAAATACAAAGTAAATGTACCCTGTGAATATAAAGTTTCATTCGTGTTTCAAAAATCTAGTTGATAAAAGTAGAAGTTAGTAAAATCAAGTTTACTTATTATAGTTTTAGTCTTAATTCAAATTATACTTTTACTTGTAATTGGAAATATGAATTTTTAAAACTATTCATTGTGGAAAAATGGAAAAATACACATAGAATAGTACTTCAAATCCCCATGCATCTCTTACTCTGCTTTAACTGTTTCTGGCATGCTATGGTTTCTCTTCTTCCCTTTTCAGTAATTTAAAGCAAACCCCAGACATCATTTCACCTGTAAATATTTCAGTATATATCTCTAATAAATAGATTTTTAAGCATTTAACTATAATATTGTCATACCTATCAAGAATCATAATTCCTTAATATCATGCATTGCCAAATTTGTGGGTTTTTTCATTATCTCAGAAATGGCTTTTTTGTTTTGTTCAAATTAAGATACAAATAGGATGCGTACTTTGGAATTGGTTGATATTTCTCCTGAGCCTCTGTTAATCAGTATCATTTCTTCATTTCTTCACCTTGCTCTCCATTTTTTCCCATGCTGTTTATTTGTTGGACTGCGTTATTTGCCTTTCTACATTCTGTATTTGGGTTTCATTGGATTCACGTTCATTTGGCTGGGGGGGGACAAGAATACTTTACTGATGATGCTATGTGGTTCCTAATGAATCACATCAGGAAACATGTCCTATTATTGACTTTTAATGTTATGATCAGTGATTGGATTTCGATGTTATCAGCATTATGTATTCATTATACAGTTTCCCATAAATTTTTCCTAATGTTTTTAGTAATCACTGATGATCACTGCCTGGATTCCACTTCATTGGGGGCTGCAAAATGAAACGTTTTCTATTCTGTCATTCATTCTTTATTTTAAAATTGTGACTTCTATGAAAGATTTTTGCTTCATTGTGTGTTTAGTTATCTTGCAATACAGTCCATGTAGGGAATGCAGGATACAGACTTGACTTCCATTATTCGTTATCAGAATGAGTTGGTACCCTAACAGTTGCGAAAGGTTACCCATGAAGTTTTTTCTTTCAATATTATAACAGGCTTGTGTGTTTTAATTTATTGTATGTGTTTCCATTGTAGACATAATTCTTTTGATCCTCAGATTATCCCATTTTTGACAGTTGAGATGCCTAAAGTGCATACCTGTGTGATATTTGACATGGTTCTGATAGTTGTTGATAGTTTCCTGTTTTCAAGCCCAAGGTGACCTGCCCTCACCTTGTATATCTCTTGCCCCCATCCTGGAATTAACTAATTTTCCCAAAGAACCCTGGCCGAAAGTCGGCAATATTTAGACACCTCAATCTTAAGGATAAGGATGCTACGATGCTACGTTTACTGAATTATCATGGTTTCTTTTATCATATCCCTTGTTTGTTATGTTCCTTTAGGTTTTTATAAGAAATATTTATTGCCTTATTTTTATATATGTCTTTACTCTTATGAACTCATCTTTGGGGGAAGAATCTGTTGAATTCAGAATTTAGGGATACCCGAAGACTTTTTTTGTTTTTGTTTTTTTTAAGAGATAGGGCCCACTCTGTTACTCAGGCTGAAGTACAGTGGTGTGATCACAGCTCATTGCAGCTTCAAACTTCTAGGCTCAAGAGATCCTCCTCCCTTAGCCTCCTGAGTAGCTGGGCCTATAGGTGTGTGCCATCATGCCCAGCTAATTTTTGTATTTTTTTTAGAGATGATGTCTTGCTATGTTGCCCAGGCTGGTCTTGAACTCCTGGCCTCAAGTGGTCCTCCTGCCTTGGCCTCCTGAAGTGCTGGGATTACAGGTGTGAGATACCACACCTGTCCCCTAATACTTAATTTGATAAGTTAATTTTGGTTTTTACTTTTTAGGTTACAGGAATTAACTGTTTGTTCAGAAGACAATGTTGATGTTCATGATATAGAATTGTTACAGTATATCAATGTGGATTGTGCAAAATTAAAACGACTCCTGAAGGGTAAGTTTAAATGTATAATATATCTGAAAAAAATCACTGGGTCAAAAACTAGTATCATGAATGTACTAATTATATTAATTGTGCTGAACTAGAACACCAAACTGGATTTTATAATGACATTTCCTTGTGAAATAACCAGTAATACAAATGGGTAATTATTTTTCAATCTTTGAAAATAATGCAGTAGAGAAAATGAGCATTTTAAATCTTGGCAATGGAAAGTTTTGCTTAACTACAATTTTTGTTTTCAATACAGAGAATGCAAGGGTGCTATTATTTCATTTTTCTGGAATTTGATCTCTCAAGGGTGGCTATAGGTTATAGAAGCTATCTGTTTAGCTATTGTAGCACTTTACAAAGATTGTCTGTAGTAGGATATCAAAGTTTTATTGCAGAATGGAACGAGGAGATTGTGATGTTATGGTGAGAGGATGAATTGAGCCAGAGATTTCATTTCTGACATTTCTGTTTTCAGCTCTCTACTGACTGACTTTATAGCATTACAAAGTCCCTTAACCTTCCATTGCCGGTTTTGTCTCCTTGTAGAACATGTCAGTAGTAGTTCCACATGGGGATATTATAACACCTAATATGTGACTTTAAAGCTTGGGAAGTACTTTACATGATTATGTGGATTGAAATAAACGATCAGAAGGAATTGAGATATGTTCTGTAGTAAGCAGTGATGTGTTAATGTAAATCAGATACCAATGAGTATTCATAAACTGAGTATGATCTGAAGGAATTGAGATAAATTCTGTGGTAAGCAGTGATGTATTCATGTAAATCAGATATCAATGAATATTCATAAACTGAGTATGAATATCTAAATTTCATTTTACAAAAAAATGTTTTTTAGTTTTTGGCATTATTAGACCCTGGCTAATTTAGATATGAAACCGTATACAGTTCACACATATTTTTATTTGTAACTTAAGGAATTGTCAAACAATAATATTTTTAATATCTGACCTAAAACAGATTGAATTATATTAGCTTCAGAAACATCAGTTCTGCAATGTAGTTTTCAAAATACGTGTTTTTGTTTTCTTAATATTTCCTTTAAACTCAATAACTATCTCACCAGAGATGTAAAAAGGCAATACCTATATAAAGGAATAATATAAAGCTGTGTTCTATTCATATTACCCTTGTTCATAATTTATGATTTTAGGTCATTACCATTGTGAAACCAAGCAACAATTAATTCAGTAACTTTAATAAAGGAAAATATAGGGGTGATTTTAGCTGTTATGCCAAGATACAAACATGTGGACAGCAATTATTTTAGATTATAATAAACCACCATTGAATTAATAGTTGAGATTTGCAAGATTTTGATATCTATTATTAAGCGTTGAGCAGTTGAGAAACTGAATGGTAAAATTTAGAGATCTCTATGAATTAAAGTTAAGAAGTATTAGTGGGATTTTATGATTTTTCATAACTATTCAGTGATGTTTTGGAAACAAGTCTAGTCCAGGTTGCCTGTGAATAGCTGTTTAAAACAATAGAAATGTTCAATCCGTAATAATTAACTGAAATGTCTCTTCTGTCCAAATAAGAGAAACTAATTGAATGTGTGGATAAATGACTTTCTTTTATACTGAAGTAACTTTCCCATCGAATGCGGCTCCCTCATGAACATAAATTTAGAGTATATGCTGATAAATATATAAAGTATAAAACCGATATTAAATAGGCCAGCAAAATATGGCTCTTGGTGACAGTGGTAAAAGGAATGCACCCTTTCAGTAATGAGTAGTAAAGGTAGTAATGTGTTTTAAATACAACTCAACAAGCCTTTGTTGAGAAACTATGTATAAGAAGCCATGCTAAGTGCTGGGATTACAAAAATTAATAAAATATGGAATCTGTCCCTAAGGAGCTCATGGCATGGTTTATGAGACAAGTGATGTCATTATCAAGTTATTTGCAGAAAAAAACTATGATAAACTCAAATAGGGTGAGTGTAAAGTGAGAGAGGAAGTATATATTTGTTTGAGGGGATGAGAGATGAGCAAGATGTGAAGGTACAAGAATAGGTCAGATCATTTTAATAAAAATATGGCCAGGCCTGGTGGCTCACACATGTAATCCCCACACTTTGGGGAAGCCGAGGCAGGAGGATTGCTTGAGCCAGGGCAACATAGAGAGACCCCCATATATACAAAAAAAAATTAGCTGGGTGTGCTGACACGCACCTGTAGTCCCAGCTACTTGGGAGGCTGAGGTGGGAGGATCACTTGAGCCCAGGAAGAGGTTGAGGTTGCAGTAAGCTGTGATTGTGCCACTGCATTCCAGCCTGGGTAACAGAGTGAGATCCTGTCTCTGTCTGTCTCTCTGTCTCTCTGTCTCTCTCTCTCTCTCTCTCTTTCTCTCTTTCTCTCGATATACCTATCTGTATATAGATATATCAATCGATATGTGTATATCCAGATCTGTCTATAGATATATCTGTATCTTGATAGATATATCGAGAGAGAGAGAGAAACATTTGTTATATTTTCAGTCTGCACCGGGCCTTGCGCTATGCAGTTTGCATGCCTTTTCTCATCAATTCTTACAATAACCCTGTGACGCAATACTAGTATTAATATTATCATCTCTTGTGTAGATGAGGAAACTGAGGCCTCAGTAAATTTTCAAAGTCACAGAGCTAGTAATTGTTCAGTAAAGATTGAGTTCACATCTGCTCGTCTCTAGAACCTAGATACTTGACTGCTGCACTGTTGTGCTTATGAGTTACGAAGCTTTATTTTAGTGGCCCTGGGAAGTGATAGAAAGGCTTTGAGGTAGAGAATACCTTAATCAGTATTTTATTTTAGATATACCCCTTTGCTTGAAATTTGCAGGATGGCTTGGTAGAGGGTTACCTGAACTTCTGGGACTTGGTTATGCAGTAATATAAGTGAAAAATAATGAGAGTTGTGGAGATCCAGATGATGGATTGGGGTAGGGTAAGGATGGGGACCAGTTTGATAGGTATTTAAAGAAGTGGAGGCTGGGCGCAGTGGCTCACACCTGTAATCCCAGCACTTTGTTAGGCTAAGGTGGGCGGATCACTGAGGTTAGGAGTTCGAGACCAGCCTGGCCAACATGGGGAAACTCCGTCTCCATTAAAAATACAAAAAATGGGCTGGGCGCGGTGGCTCACGCCTGTAATCCCAGCACTTTGGGAGGCTGAGGCAGGTGGATCACGAGGTCAGGAGACCATCCTGGCTAACACGGTGAAACACTGTCTCTACTAGAAATACAAAAAATTAGCCAGTCGTAGTGGTGGGCGCCTGTAGTCCCAGCTTCTTGGGAGGCTGAGGCAGGAGAATGGCATGAACCCGGGAGGCAGAGCTTGCAGTGAGCCGAGATTGTGCCACTGCACTCCAGCCTGGGCAACAGAGTGATACTCCGTCTCTAAATAAATAAATAAAATAAAATAAAAATACAAAAAATTAGCCGGGTGTGGTGGCACGTGCCCATAATCCCAGCTACTCGGGTGGCCGAGGCACAGCAGAATCGCTTGAGCCTGGGAGATGGAGGTTGTAGTGAGCCGAGATCACGCCATTGCACTCCAGCTTGGACAACAAGACCGAAACTCCATCTAAAAAAAAAAAAAAAGAAATGGAATACATAGCATTTGATAGTCAATTTAGATATATGAGGTTAGAGAGATATCACCAAATATTACAGAATAAGCTGGTTAGAGCAGAAAAGGGAAGGAAAGGTTGATGGCAGAAGAGAGGGTTTGACCAGGAAAATGATAAATTCAGTTTTAGATCTTCTGAGTTTGAGGTATCAGTAGGATGTCCAACAAGAAACTTGTAGAACTGAAAGATACTTTGGCTTTGAGAGTAGATTATGGTATATAACACATTTAAGATGTCATAAAGGTAAAGTTGTTGCTAAAGAGCACTGTGAAGAGTAATGTCATTATTTGGAAATCAGTGGAGGGTGAGAGCAAAGAGAATTCAAAGGGGTACTTTTAAAAACTGATTTGGAGAGTTACTTATTTGCAAGTCCAGAAAAAAGACTCATCTCTCTCTTAGACACTTACATAGATGTAATAAAAACCTTTATCCCTTCATTAAAAGTCAACAGGAGAAGTTCTTTGCCGAGGGACCATTGCCAGTAAAATCGCTTATAGACAGGTCATTTTTTCCAAACATAAATCTTTTTCTAGATGTGGACAATAAACTTAAAGAAGAAGAAATTAAAATACCCAATATATTTATATGGAGAAATGTTTACTGTTACTTGCGTTAAAATGCAGTCTACTATTTTGAACACTCCAATTAGCAAAATAAAGAAAATGAACATACTTTTATGATGACAAAGATAGGATGAAGGCACTTTCGTATGCTGCTTGGTGATAGCAGCATTTGGCCCAACCCTAGTGAAAGGCAGCTTGGTAATCTTTATCAAGGGCCCTAAAAATATTCATCTCTTTGACTGGACACTTCTAGAGATTCCTTATCTTAAATAAGCAGTGATGTGGGAAAAGATGTTGATATGAAAATATTTGTTAATGTTATTTATAATAGTGAAATAACAGAAATAACCTCAGTGTTAAAACTGGAAAACATTAAATAACCAGTCACTTAATACAGTGACTTAAATATTATGAGGGGCATCAAAGCATACTGAAAAGACCTTGGTTTTAAAGCCCAATTCAATCATTTATTAGATCTGTAACCTTAGACACACAGTTTGTTCATCTGTAATACTCTGAAAACATTAAGATTCAAAAAGAATTAAGTGTATCATACTAAAAATACATGATATGTTTTAATAGTTTGTGTAATAGTTACTATTGCATATAGAGCCATCAAAAATAGGCCAGGCACAGTGGCTCACACCTGTAATCCCAGCACTTTGGGAGGCCTACGTGGGCGGATCATGAGGTCAGGAGTTCGAGACCAGCCTGACGAACATGGTGAAACCCCATCTCTACTAAAAATACAAAAATTAGCTGGGTGTAGTGGCGCACGCCTGTAATCCCAGCTACTGGGGAGGCTGAAGCAGGAGAATCGCTTGAACCTGGGAGACGGAGGTTGCGTGAGCCAAAATTGTGCCATTGCACTCCAGCCTGAGCGACAGAGCAAGACTCCATCTCAAAAAAAAAAAAAAAAAAAAAAAAAGAGTTTTTACTGATACAGAAATAATTAGGGATACTATGGAAAAGAACAGGTTTGATACAGCTTATATGATCTCAGTTATGTTAAATATATTTGTTTTCTACATGCATAGGAAAAGTGGTAGAAGTAAAACCACCAGATGTTAACTGTGATTGTCTCTGAATGATAGAATCATTGATGGTTTTAAAAATTTCCCATAAACACCTGTGCTTTTGCTTTTTTTTTTTTTTTTTTTTTTTGGACAGAGTCTTGCTCTGTCGCTCAGGCTGGCATGCAGTGACATGATTATAGTACACTGTAGCCTTGAAATCCTGGGCTCAAGCTATCTTCCCACTCCTGCTTTCGAAAGTGCTGAGATTATAGGCGTGAGCCATCGGGCCTGGCCCTGTATATGTTTTCCAAATTTTTTAATTATACTTTAAGTTCTGGGGTACATGTGTAGAACATGCAGGTTTGTTACATAGGTGTCCATGTGCCATGGTGGTTTGCTGCACCCATCAACGCATCATCTACCTTAGGTATTTTTCCTAATGCTATCCCTTACCTCAGCCCCCACCCCCCGACAGGCACCGATGCGTGATGGTCCTCTCCCTGTGTACATGTGTTCTTATGGTTCATCTCCCACTTATGAGTGAGAACATGTGGTGTTTGGTTTTCTGTTCTTGTGTTTGCTGAAAATGATGGTTTCCAGCTTCATCCATGTCCCTGCAAAGGACGGGAACTTATCCTTTTCTATGTCAGCATAGTATTCTGTGGTGTATATGTGCCACATTTTCTTTATCCAGTCTATCATTGATGGGCATTTGGATTGGTTCCAAGTCTTTGCTGTTGTGAACAGTGCTGCAGTAAACATACGTGTGCATGTGTCTTTATAGCAGAATGATTTGTAATCCTTTGGGTATATACCCAGTAATGGGATGGCTGGGTCAAATGGTATTTCTAGTTCTAGATCCTTGAGGAATCGCCACACTGTCTTCCACAATGGTTGAACTAATTTACACTCCCACCAACAGTGTAAAAGTGTTCCTATTTCTCCACATTCTCTCCAGCATCTTTTCTTTCCTGACTTTTTAATGATCGCCATTCTTACTGGCGTGAGATGGTATCTCATTGTGGTTTTGATTTGCATTTCTGTAATGACCAGTGATAATGAGCTTTTCTTTATATGTTTGTTGTCTTCTTTTGAGAAGTGTCTGTTCATATCCTTCATCTACTTTTTAATGGGGTTGTTTGTGTTTTTCTTGTAAATTTAAGTTCTTTGTAGGTTCTGGTTATTAGCCCTTTGTCAGATGGGTAGATTGCAAAAATTTTCTCCCATTCTGTAGGTTGCCTGTTCACTCCGATGGTAGTTTCTTTTGCTATGCAGAAGCTCTTTAGTTTAATTAGATCCCATTTGTCAATTTTGGCATTTGTTGTCATTGCTTTTGGTGTTTCAGTCATGAAGTCTTTCCCCATGCCTATGTCCTGAATGGTATTGCCTAGGTTTCTTTCTAGGGTTTTTATGGTTTTAGGTCTTATGTTTAAGTCTTTAATCTATCTTGAGTTAATTATTGTATAAGGTGTAAGGAAAGGGTCCAGTTTCAGTTTTCTGCATATGGCTAGCCAGTTTTGCCAGTACCATTTATTAAATAGGGAATCCTTTCCCCATTGCTTGTTTTTGTCAGGTTTGTCAAAGATCAGATGGTTGTAGATGTGTGGTGTTATTTCTGAGGCCTCTGTTCTGTTCCATTGGTCTATGTATCTGTTTTGGTACCAGTACCATGCTGTTTTGGTTACTGTAGCCTTGTATAGTTTGAAGTCAGGTAGTGTGATTCCTCCAGCTTTGTTCTTTTTGCTTAGGATTGTCGTGGTTATGCGGGCTCTTTTCTGGTTTCATATGAAATTTAAAGTAGTTTTTTCTAATTCTGTGAAGAAAGTCAGTGGTAGTTTGATGGGGATAGCATTGAATCTATAAATTGCTTTGGGCAGTACGGCCATTTTCACGATATTGATTCTTCCTATCGATGAGCATGGAATGTTTTTCCGTTTGTTTGTGTCCTCTCTGGCTGGCATCTGGCAGGTGCCCCTCTGGGACAAAGCTTCCAGAGGTAGGAACACGCAGCAATCTTTGTTGTTCCGCAGCCTCTGCTGGTGATACTCTGGCAAACAGGGTCTGGAGTGGACCTCCAGCAAACTCCAGCAGACCTGCAGCAGAGGGTTCTGCCTGTTAGAAGGAAAACTAAGAAAGGAATAGTATCATCATCAACATCAAAGACCAAAGGTAGATAAATCCACAAAAATGGGAAGAAACCAGTGCAAAAAGGCTGAAAAAAAAACGAGCACGCCTCTTCTCCTCCAAAGGATCACAACTCCTTACCAGCAAAGGAACGAAACTGGACAAAGAATGAGTTTGACAAATTGACAGAAGTAGGCTTCAGAAGATGGGTAATAACAAACTCCTCCAAGCTAAAAGAGCATGTTCTAACCCAATGCAAGGAAGCTAAGAACCTGGAAAAAAGGTTAGACGAATTGCTGACTAGAATAACCATCTTAGAGAAGAACATAAATGACCTGATGGAGCTGAAAAATACAGCATGAGAACTTCGTGAAGCATACACAAGTATCAATAGCCAAATCAATCAAGCAGAAGAAAGGATATCAGAGATTGAAGATCAACTCAATGAAATAAAGCGAGAAGACAAGATTAGAGAAAAAAGAGTGAAAAGAAATGAACAAAGCCTCCAAGAAATATGGGACTATGTGAAAAGACCAAATCTACATTTGGTTAGTGTACCTGAAAGTGATGGGGAGGATGGAAAAAGTTGGAAAACACTCTTCAGGATATTAGCAGGAGAACTTCCCCAACCTAGCAAGGCAGGCCAACATTCAAATTCAGGAAATACAGAGAACACTACAAAGATAATCCTCGAGAAGAGCAACCCCAAGACATATAATCGTCAGATTCACCAAGGTTGAAATGAAGGAAAAAATATTAAGGGCAGCCAGAGAGAAAGGTCGGGTTACCCACAAAGGGAAGCCCATCAGACTGACAGCAGATCTCTAGGCAGAAACCCTACAAGCCAGAATAGAGTGGGGGCCAATATTCAACATTCTTAAAGAAAAGAATTTTCATCACAGAATTTCATATCCAGGCAAACTAAGCTTCATAAGCGAAGGAGAAATAAAATACTTTACAGACAAGCAAATGCTGAGAGATTTTGTCACCACCAGGCCTGCCTTACAAGAGCTCCTGAAGGAAGCACTAAGCATGGAAAGGAACAACTGGTACCAACCACTGCAAAAACATAACAAATTGTAAAGACCATCTATGCTGTGAAGAAACTGCATCAACTAATGGGCTAAATAACCAGCTAGCATCATAATAACAAATTCACACATAACACTATTAACCTTAAATGTAAACGGGCTAAATGCCCCAATTAAAAGACACAGACTGGCAAATTGGATAAAGAGTCAAGACCCATCACTGTGCTGTATTCAGGAGACCCATCTCACATGCAAAGTTACACATAGGCTCAAAATAAAGGGTTGGAGGAAGATTTACCAAGCAAATGGAAAGCAAAAAAAAGTAGGGTTGCAATCCTAGTCTCTGATAAAACAGACTTTAAACCAACAAAAAAGATCAAAAGAGTCAAAGAAGGGTATTACATAATGGTAAAGAGATCAGTGCAACAACAAGAGCTAACTACCCTAAATATATATGCACCCAATACAGGAACACCCAGATTCATAAAGCAAGTCCTTAGAGACCTACAAAGAGACTTAGACTCCCACACAATAATAATGGGAGACTTTAACACCCCACTGTCAACATTAGACAGATCAACGAGACAGAAAGTTAACAAGGATATCCAGGAGTTGAACTCAGCCCTGCACCAAGTGGACCTAATAGACATCTGCAGAACTCTCCACCCCAAATCAACAGAATGTATATTCTTCTCAGCACCACATTGCACTTATTCCAAAATTGACCACATAATTGGAATACAACACTCCTCAGCAAATGCCAAAGAATGGAAATCATAACAAAGACTCTCAGACCACAGTGCAATCAAACTAGAACTCAGGATTAAGGAACTCACTCTAAACCACACAACTACATGGAAACTGAACAACCTGCTCCTGAATGACTACTGGGAAGATAACAAAATGAAGGCAGAAATAAAGATGTTCTTTGAAACCAATGAGAAAAATACACAACGTACCAAAACCTCTGGGATACATTTATAGCAGTGTGTAGAGGGAAATTTATAGCACTAAATGCCCACAAGATAAAGCAGGAAAGATCTAAAATTGACACCCTAACATCACAATTAAAAGAACTAGAGAAGCAAGAGCAAACAAATTCAAAAGCTAGCAGAGGACAAGAAATAACTAAGATCAGAGCAGAACTGAAGGAGATAGAGACACGAAAAACCTTTCAAAAAATCAATGAGTCTCCTGACCTCGTGATCCGCCGCCTTGGCCTCAGTGAAACCCCATCTCTACTAAAAATACAAAAAAATTAGCCGGGCATGGTGGCAGGCACCTGTAGTCCCAGCTACTCGGGAGCCTGAGGCAGGAGAATGGCGTGCACCCGGGAGGCAGAGCTTGCAGTGAGCCAGGATCGTGCAACTGCACTCCAACCTGGGCGACAGAGCAAGACTCTGTTTAAAAAAAAAAAAAAATCAATGAATCCAGGAGCTGGTTTTTTGAAAAGATCAACAAAATAAATAGACCACTAGCCAGACTCATAAAGAAGAAAGAGAGGAGAATCAAATAGACGCAATAAAAAATGATAAAAGGGATATCACCACCGATCCCACAGAAATACAAACTACCATCAGAGAATACTATAAACACCTCTGTGCAAATAAACTAGAAAATCTAGCAGTAATGGATAAATTCCTGGACACATACACCCTCCCAAGACTAAACCAGGAAGAAGTCGAATCCCTGAATAGACCAATAACAAGTTCTGAAATTGAGGCAATAATTAATAGCCTACCAACCAAAAAAAGTCCAGGACCAGATGGATTCACAGCCAGATTCAGCTAGAGGAGGAGCTGGTACCATTCCTTCTGAAACTATTTCAAACAATAGAAAAAGAGTGAATCCTCCCTAACTCATTTTATGAGGCCAGCATCATGGTCATACCAAAACCTGGCAGAGACACAACAACAAGAGAAAATTTTAGGCTGATATCCCTGATGAACATCGATGCAAAAATCCTCAATAAAATAATGGCAAACTGAATCCAACAAGCACATCAAAAAGCTTGTCCACCATGATCAAGTTGGCTTCATCCCTGGGATGCAAGGCTGGTTTCAACATATGCAAATCAATGAAAGTAATCCATCACGTAAACAGAACCAATGACAAAAACCACATGATTATCTCAATAGATACAGAAAAGGCCTTTGATGAAATTCAACAGCCCTTCATGCCAAAGACTCTGAATAAACTAGGGATTGATCAAACATATCTCAAAATAATAAGAGCTATTTATGACAAACCCACAGCCAATATCATACTGAATGGGCAAAAACTGGAAGGATTCCCTTTGAAAACTGGCACAAGACAAGGATGCCCTCTCTCACCACTCCTATTCAAACTAATATTGGAAGTTCTGGCCAGGGCAATCAGGCAAGAGAAAGAAATAAAGGGTATTCGGTTAGGAAAAGAGAAAGTCAAATTGCCTCTGTTTGCAGATGACATGGTTGTATGTTTAGAAAACCCCATCGTCTCAGCCCAAAATCTCCTTAAGCTGATAAGCAACTTCAGCAAAGTCTCAGGATACAAAATCAATGTGCAAAAATCACAAGCATTCCTATACACCAATAACAGACAAACAGAGAGCCAAATCATGAGTGAACTCCCATTCACAACTGCTACAAAGAGAATAAAATACCTAGGAATCCAACTTACAAGGGATGTGAAGGACCTCTTCAAGGAGAACTACAAACCACTGCTCTAGGAAATAAGAGAGGACACAAATGGAAAACAATTCCATGCTCATGGATAGGAGGAACCAATATCCTGTATGTGTTTTATACTTTTTTTTGAAAAAGCAAGTTATTAAAAGAAAAAGCTCACAATCATTGATGTCCAAGGCATATTTGCTGTTTATGGAATTTTTCTTTCCTAGCAGACAACTATCGAGTTTTGGGTTTATGTTAGGTGTCTTTACCTTTCATTGCTTACAGATAATATTGGAGCAAAAGTAATACGTAAATGGAAAGTTATTTTGCTCTGAGTTGTATTTGTGTTAACTTATTCTAGAGTTAATTTTTAAAAATTGTGTTTTTTCCAGAAACAGCATTTAAATTTAAAGCCCTAAAGAAGGTTGCGCAGTTAGCAGTTATAAATAGCCTGGAAAAGGTAAGTTACAACCTCTCTGGTATTAAAATTTTGTTTTTGATGTAAAATTTGCTGTTGTTAGCATCCTGAATCAAAAAGTTATGACTTGAGTGATAGTTTCACATTCATTTTCAGGAAGAATACATTGTAATATTATTATGAAGGAAGTTAGAAGTTTGTGACATTTTATTTACTGTATTACAAAAAATCACTGTAAAGACATGTGGTTCTTTATTTATAGGCATTTTGGAACTGGGTAGAAAATTATCCAGATGAATTTACAAAACTGTACCAGATCCCACAGACTGATATGGCTGGTAAGGATACGATTGATTTTTTTTTTTTTTTTGTCTTTTAAATGCCTACTTGTGACATAAAAACCTATCATCGTTTTCCAAGTTATTTTTGTTATAAAGGTGCTTTTACATCTTCTATTGTCAACTGGTGTCAAATAGGAAATACTGTTTTTCTCTTACATTTCTAAATTAGGCCCAACCCTCTTCCTTTCCTTGGAGCAAACAAAGTAGTTTGAAATGAAGGTCAGATCTTTAGAGCTGTGATAGGATGGGGTGTTTGGCTCTTTGTTGTAGAGAAGCATGTGCTCTGAAGCTTTATTTTGTATTTAGGGAGATGTGTATAAAGTAGTAATATTCTCACCTATAATGTAAGACACAACTGCAAGGCAGAGAATACAGACTCCTGGAGAACTTTGGTAATTCTTTTTGGGAAGCTGTTCAGTCTTTGTTGCTTGGGTACATCACACTTTGCATAAGGCCCTTCACAGTGAGACTGAATACATGATCATCCATTCTAAAATGTGAGCTTTTCCAGGATAGATCAAGATAGCTCTTCTAACACATAGACAGTATTACATTGCTTGTCTACTTACCAGAATGCATTTGTGTAGTTGCTTAAATGAAGTTCCATGTTTATCTTTTAAAAATGTTGCCCTTGGGTTTTTACATAGTGTCAGCTTTTACTTTAATGCCAGGGATTTTGTTCCTATCTAATAATGTCATTTAATATATTTTTCATGCAGAATGTGCAGAAAAGCTATTTGACTTGGTGGATGGTTTTGCTGAAAGCACCAAACGTAAAGCAGCAGTTTGGCCACTACAAATCATTCTCCTTATCTTGTGTCCAGAAATAATCCAGGATATATCCAAAGACGTGGTTGATGAAAACAACATGAATAAGGTAAGGAGGGCAAAATTATTTCCATTATATCTAGATGTGAAGCAGTTTATTTTACTCAAGGTGTGTATTACTTTAGGCTTATTATTTAAGCAAAGTATTTCAGGGAACCATTTAAATGATCATTTTAGGTTTCTTTGTTTGATGGACTTAGAAGAGACATACTCATACATAATTTTATTTGGCAGAGGGAAAATAATACCAGGCAATGAACAAAGATTTAAAATAATCCCTTAGTTTCATTCTTTTGTCTGAGAAGACTAAACGATACCTCTGTTATTATTAAACGTAGTTTCTCTAATATTCACTACAAGGATTGCCCTACTTGAGTTCATCACTTTTATAGTGTGTTATTTGCATGTACTTAGGGTATGTGTCCATATAGTGCTACTGAAATTATCTAGTAACTCATTTTAAGTATTTTAGAACAGTTTTCAAAGAATTTTGCCAGGAAGGTAAGGCTCTCGCATATACCATCTATAGTGAAATTGGCACCATGACAACTGGTAATTCTAGGAGGCTCTTAAAATTTTTTTAAATATCACCTAGGTGATTGAAAAAAAAAAGAACTGAGTATTAATCCTAGGGTTTTACTGAAATTTCAATATGCAGTTTGTTTTGCAAATATTTTTTTTTTCATTTTTTGCTGCTTTTGGAGAAATACTCTTAGCTGGCTGAACATGAGATGGTTTCCTTCATGGTTTGCCTGTAGATGGAGATGTTCAGAATCAGCTGAATGATTTATTACTTTGTAGAAGTATTGGACCGGGAATTTATACATTAAAGGGTAAATAAATGAACCAGGTAATCCTTGAGAGTCTGTGATTGCGTGTTACTCCACTTAGGTGTATATCTCAACTTTTCCATTATGAGGACACCATTTTTCATGGTAGATTGTTTTGGAGCCCTTCAAAATAGTAGGTTTGATGATAAATACTGAGTGTCAACTTGATTGGATTGAAGGATACAAAGTATTGATCCTGGGTGTATCTGTGAAGTTGTTGCCAAAGGAGATTAACATTTGAGTCAGTGGGCTGGGAAAGGCAGACCCACCCTTAATCTGGGTGGTGCACCATCTAATCAGCTGCCAGCATGGCTGGAGTATAAGCAGGCAGAAAAATGTGAAAAGAGAGACGGGCCTAGCCTCCCAGCCTACATCTTTCTCCTGTGTTGGATGCTTCCTGCCCTCGAACATCAGACTCCAAGTTCTTTAGTTTTGGAACTTGGACTGGCTCTTCTTGCCTCTTAGCCTGCAGACGGCCTATTGTGGGACCTTGTGATCGTGCTAGTTAATAGTTAATATCCCCTTTATATAAATATTCTATTACTTCTGTCCCTCTAGAGAACCCTAATAGAGATTTTGGTACAAGGAGTGTGGTTCTAGAGGAACGGAGTATTAAGGATGGAGTTTCTTAGTTTGTTTGGGGGTTTCTGGAGTTTGCTGCTTAATATGATTAGACCCTAAAATATTAAGGACTCTACTTCTAATATTGTGGAGAACACTGATAGTCGTTGCTGTGAACTGTTTAGAGAGTTTGCAAAATAAATGCATTTGACACTCCTGATTCACCGCTAATGAGAGGCAAGGAGTTTAGTGACCCTATACATAATAATACCTTTGACCATATATGGAGAACCAAGGAACATAATGAAGCTGGTTGGTTGCTCCTAAATTCAGTGGACAAAGTGGTGAAAGAAAATGATGGGCCGGGCGCGGTGGCTCACGCCTGTAATCCCAGCACTTTGGGAGGCCGAGGCGGGCGGATCACGAGGTCAGGAGATCGAGACCATCCTGGCTAACACGGTGAAACCCTGTCTCTACTAAAAATACAAAAAATTAGCCGGGCGAGGTGGCGGGCGCCTGTAGTCCCAGCTACTCCGGAGGCTGAGGCAGGAGAATGGCGTGAACCCCAGGGGGCGGAGCCTGCAGTGAGCCGAGATTGCGCCACTGCACTCCAGCCTGGGCGACAGCGAGACTCCGTCTCAAAAAAAAAAAATAAAAAAAAAAAATAAAAAAATAAAATAGAAAATGATGAGCTCAGGGATTCTGTCTCCTGTCTTCAGAAGCAGATACTGAGCCTCAAATCTGCTAAGATTGACCTGAGTGAGACCCTTATCTCCTGTAGAAAAAGAGCTGAAATTGTGAAAAAACAAACACAAACTCTTATCATGCAAGTGGCTGACCTGCAACAAAAGGTGCATGTACAGCCTAACCAGGTGTCTACTGTTAAAGTGTGGGCATTGATTGGAAAAGAATGGGACCCTGCAACTTGGAAAGGGCATGTGTGGGAGGACCCTGATGAAGCTGGGGACTCTGAGTTTGTAAACTCTGATGAACCTTTTTTGCCAGAAGAAACAGCTTCCCCATCCCCAGTAGTGGCAACATCCCCTCCCTGAGCCATGCTGCCATCAGCCTTTCCACTTTTGTCTGAAGAGATAAACCCTGCGCTGCCTGAGGCAACAGGAATGGCCTCCCCTGAGGCAGTTGCCAGGCAAGATAATGTTGATTCTCCTCAGAAGCCACCCCCAACACCCCTGTTTGCTTCTAGACCTATAACCAGACTAAAGTCCTAGCAGGTCCCTAGAGGTGAGGCTGAGAGTGTGACCCATGAGGAGGTGCGCTAC
The DNA here is from genome assembly GCF_000001405.40 of Homo sapiens. NCBI lineage: Eukaryota > Metazoa > Chordata > Mammalia > Primates > Hominidae > Homo > Homo sapiens. The sequence goes on from NW_025791803.1 coordinate 264,462, forward strand.
ACTCGTAAAGAACTGCTTGAGTTTTCTAATTTATATAAACAAATCTTACTTGGAGAGACCTTGGTCATGTTTCACTTCCACAACATATGACACTGGTCTATTACATTAATGATATTATGCTGATTGGATTCTGTGAGCAAGAAGTAGCAAACGCACTGGACTTATTGGTGAGACGTTTGGGTGCCAGAGGATGGGAAATAAATCCGAGTAAAACTTAGGGACCTTCTACCTCAGTAAAATTTCTAGGGCTTCAGGGGTGTGGGGCCTGTCAAGATATTCTTTCTAAGGTGAAGAATATTGCTGCATTTGGCCCCTCCTACAAAAAAGAAAGAGGCACAATGCCTAGTGGGCCTACTTGGATTTTGGAGGCACCATTCCTCATTTAGGTGTGTTACTCTGGCCCATTTATCCAGTGACCCAAAGAACTGCCAGTTTTGAGTGGGGTCCAGAACAGGAGAAGGCTCTGCAACAGGTCCAGGCTGCTGTGCAAGCTGCTCTGCCACTTGGGCCATATGACCCAACAGATCCAATGGTGCTTGAAGTGTCAGTGGCAGATAAGGATGCTGTTTCGAGCCTTTGGCAGGCCCCCATAGGTAAATCACAGCGGAGGCCTCTAGGATTTTGGAGCAAGGCCCTGCCATCTTCTGCAGATAACTACTCTCCTTTTGAGATACAGCTCTTGACCTGTTACTGGGCTTTGGTGGAAACGGAATGTTTAACTGTGGGTCTTCAAGTCACCTTGTGACCTGAACTGCCTATCTATGAACTGGGTGTGTTCTGACCCATCTAGCCGTAAAGTGGGTCGTGCACAGCAGCATTCCATCATCAAGTGGAAGTGGTACATACACGATCGGGCTCAAGCAGGTCCTGAAGGCACAAGTAAGTTACATGAGGAAGTGGCTCAAATGCCCATGGTCTCCACTCATGCCACCGTACCTTCTCTCTCCCCACCTATACTGATAGCCTCATAGGGAGTTCCCTATGATCAGTTGGCAGAGGAAGAGAAGACTAGGGCCTGGTTCGCAGATGGTTCTGCACAATATGCAGGCACCACCTGAAAGTGGACAGCTGCAGCACTACAGCCCCTTTCTAGGACATCCCTGAAGCATAGTGGTGAAGGGGAATCTTCCCAGTGGGCAGAACTTTGAGCAGTGCACGTGGTTGTGTACTTTGCGTGGAAGGAGAAATGGCCAGATGTGCGATTATATACTGATTCATGGGCTGGAGCCAGTGGTTTGGCTGGATGGTCAGGGACTTGGAAGAAGCATGATTGGAAAATTGGTGACAAAGAGATTTGAGGAAGAGGTATGTGGATAGACCTCTCTGAGTGGTTAAAAACTGTGATGTTTGTATCTCATGTGAGTGCTCACCAACAGGTGACCTCAGCAGAGAAGGATTTTAATAATCAAGTGGATAGCGTGACCTGTTCTGTGGATGCCACTTAGCCTCTTTCCCCAGCTACCCCTCTCCTCGCCCAATGGGCCCATGAACAAAGTGGCCATGGTGGCAGGGATGGAAGTTATGCATGGGCTTAGCAACGTGGACTTCACTCACCAAGGCTGACTTGGCTATGGCCACTGCTGAGTGTCCAATTTGCCAGCAGCAGAGACCAACACTGAGCCCTTGATATGACATCATTCCTCAGGGTGATCAGCCAGCTACCTTGTTGATTATATTGGACCTCTTCCATCACGGAAAGGGCAGAGATTTGTCCTCACTGGAATAGACACTTACTCCTGATATGGGTTTGCCTATCCTGTATGCAATGCTTCTGCCAAGATTACCATGCATGGGCTCACCAAAGGCCTTACCCACCATCATGGTATTCCACACAGCATTGCCTCTGACCAAGGCACTCACTTTACAGCTAAAGAAGTGTGCCAGTGGGCTCATGCTCATGGAATTCACTGTTTTTGTTTGTTTGTTTTTTGAGATGGAGTGTTGCTCTGTTGCCAGGCTGGAGTGCAGTGGCGCGATCTCGGCTCACTGCAACCTCTGCCTCCCAGGTTCAAGCGATTCTCCTGCCTCAGCCTTCCGAGTACCTGGGACTATAGGTGTGCGCCACCACGCCCAGCTAATTTTTGTATTTTTAGTAGTGATGGGGTTTCACCATGTTGGCCAGGATGGTCTCAATCTCTTGACCTTGTATCTGCCCCCCTCGGCCTCCCAAAGTCTAGGATTACAGGCATGAGCCAATGTGCCTGGCCACACTGGTCTTAACCATGTTCCCAACCATCCTGAAGCAGCTGGATTGGTAGAACAGTGGAATGGCCTTTTGAAGTCACAATTACAATGCCAACTAGAAGACAGTACTTTGCAGGGCTGGAGCAAAGTTTTCCAGAAGGCTGTGTATGCTCTGAATCAGTGTCCAATATATGGTACTGTTTCTCCCATAGCCAGGATTCCCGGGTCCAGGAATCACTCACCATCACCCCTAGTGATCCACTAGAAAATTTTTCTTCCCGTTCTTGAGACATTATGTTCTGCTGGCCTAGAGGTCTTAGTTCCAGAGGGAGGAACGCTGCCACCAGGAGACACAACAACGATTCCATTAAACTGGAAGTTAAGATTGCCACCTGGACACACTTTGGGCTCCTCCTACCTTTAAGTCAACAGGCTAAGAAGGGAGTTACAGTGTTGGCTGGGGTGATTGACCCTGACTATCAAGATGAAATCAGTCTACTACTCCATAGCGGAGGTAAAGAAGAGTATGCATGGAGATCCATTAGGGCGTCTTTTAGTATTACCATGTATTGCCATGCCCTGTGATTAAGGTAAATGGGAAACTACAACAGCCCCATCCAGGCAGGACTACAAATGACCCAGACCCTTCAGGAATGAAGGTTTGGGTCACTCTACCAGGAAAAAAACCACCACCTGCTGAGGTGCTTGCTGAAGGCAAAGGGAATACAGAATGGCTAGTAGAAGAAGGTAGTCATCAATACCAGCTACGACTGCATGACCAGCTGCAGAAACAACTGTAATTGTCATGAGTATTTCCTCCTCCTTTTGTTAAAAACATGTTTGTGCATGTATACACCTGTACTAAGAAAATATCTTCATTTTATTTCCTTTTTCTTTTATCATATGACTTAAGATTTATTGACTTCACATCAGCATTTTAAGTATTGTTAACTTTTAGTATTTGGGTTGGGATAGGTGTGTTTCTGGTTGTACGAAGGATAATTGTATTATGTTAGGCATAATTATGACTTTATTGTCTTTATTTAAAGATTATGTATGATCTCAGGAGATATGTATGGGTTCAAGTTGACAAGGGGTGGACTTGTGATGGTTAATACTAAGTGTCAACTTGATTGGATTGAAGGATACAAAGTATTGATCCTGGGTGTGCCTGTGAGGGTGTTGCCAAAGGAGATTGACATTTGAGTCAGTGGGCTGGGAAAGGCAGACCCACCCTTAATCTGGCTGGCTACCATCTAATCAGCTGCCAGTGTGGCTAGAATATAAGCAGGCAGAAAAATGTGAAAAAGAGAGATGGGCCTAGCCTCCCAGCCTCCATCTTCCTCCTGTGCTGGTTGCTTCCTGCCCTCCAGCGTCGGTCTTCAAGTTCTTCAGTTTTGGAACTTGGACTGGCTCTCCTTGCTCCTCACCCTGCAGACAGCCTATTGTGGGACCTCGTGATCGTGTAAGTTAATGCTTAATAAACTCCCCTTTGTATAAGTATCTATTCCCTTAATTCTGTCCCTCTAGAGAACCCTGACTAATACAGTAGGGTGTTTTTTGTTGTTGTTGTTTATTGGAAAAATAGAAATAAATAAATAAGCTATAGATTCAGTAGTACTCGAGTGAATTTACGTTTTAATAATCACAACTGTAGCTTTCTAAGTGTTTACTGGTTATTTGTGTATCTTCAGGGAATTGCTGATTTTTCCATTGAATTGTTTGTCTTTTGTTGATTTGTAAGGGTATATGTGTACATTTTTACTTGGTTTCATTTTTAAACTTTATGAGTTCTTTTTACTATATAGATATTTAAAATTTGCATGTAGTCACCTCAGCCTTGTTCCTTTTTGTCTCCTAGCTTTTTTGGTCAGATCTCTCTTCCCAGAAGATATTATTCATTTTATTGAGATATAATTCACATATCATAAAATTTACGTTTTTGAAGTGTAAAATTCAGCGATTTTAGTACATTAACAAAGTTGTACAATCATCACCATTGTTTCTGTGCAGAACATTTTCATCTTCCCAAAAAGAAACCCGTTAGTAATCACTCCCTGTTCCTCTCGCCTCACTCGCAGCCCTTGGCAACCAGTAATCTAGTTTTTTGTCTATAGATTTACTTAATTCTAAACTAGACATTTCATACAAATGGAATCATTCAGCATGTTATGTTTTTGTCTGGCAGGTGCCAAGATTTTTGAAGTATGCTTTTTAATTTTTTTCTGGTATTTTCTAGATTTAAAAGTTTAGATTTTTAAATCTTTCTGGATTAAAAAGAAAAGTATTTTTTTTTTTTTTTTTTTTGAGACGGTGTTTCACTCTTGTTGCCCAGGCTGGAGTGCAATGGCACAATCTCCGCTTAGTGCAACCCCCGCCTCTCGGGTTCAAGCGATTCTCCTGCCTCAGCCTCCTGAGTAGCTGGAATTACAGGCATGCGCCACCACGCCCGGCTAATTTTGTAGTTTTAGTAGAGATGGAGTTTCTCCATGCTGGTCAGGCTGGTCTCGAACTCCTGACCTCAGGTGATCTGCCTGCCTCGGGCCTCCCAAAGTGCTGGGATTACAGGCATGAGCCATTGCGCCTGGCTAAAAAATGTATTTTTAAAAATGTATTACAAAAAAAAAAAAAAAAAAAAGCTGGCCATGGTGGCAGGCTCCTGTGATCCCAGCTACTCTGGAGGCTGAGCCGGGGAGAATTGCTTGAACCTGGGAGGTGGAGGTTGCCATGAGCTGAGATCATGCCACTGCACTCCAGCCTGGGCGACAGAGCGAGATTCCATCTCAAAAAACAAAAAAACAAAAAAAATAAAATAGTATTCTCACCCTTTTCTACTCACATTCCTTCTGAGCTGGTTAGTGTTATTGGCTGGTATGTATCCTTCCAGTCACATCTATTTACCCATATATTCAAATGCAAAATATACATACGTAGGGTGGTGGTGGTTGTATTTTAAAATGAAATTATTTTATGCACATTACTCTGCATCGTTGTTTATCTAAGAAAATATTTTAGCTGTTCCTCAAAATAGTTGATAGAGATCTGACACATTCCTTTCAGTATTAGGTAACATTCTGTTACACTAATGAGCCTCATTTACTCAGCCATTTCACTGAATGGGTGGATATTCAGATGTTTTCAGTTTTTTGACACTTAGCTAAGCCTTAAGTAAATATCTTGTTCATATATCCTTGTTAACTGATGCTCTTAATTCTATAGACTAGAATCTAAAAACTAGGGGTTCCTGTGTCAAGAACATTTGCATTTAAAATTTGTAATAGTTATTACTAGATTTACATTCCCCAATAGTTGCAGCAGGTCAGAGTTTCATCCCCACTGAATTGCCTATTTTCCTGCATTTTTGTCAGGATTAGCTGTTGTTAAATCTTTAAAATTTTGCCACACTAATAAGGTGAGATAGTATCTCATCTCAGGTATTCTTACCTTCTCTTTCAGAGGTAAACTGTGTGATGTGATGGATATGTTATTACCTTGATTGTGGTACTCATTTTAGAATGTATAAGTTTATCAGAACATCATGTTGTACACCTTAAATATATACAATTTTTATTTTTCAATCGTACCTCAATAAAGCTGAAAAAATGTCATTCAGAAAGGAAGCAAACAGTAGATACTAGCATTAAAAATATGTTGTAAATTTTCAAGCATAGAATGATAACATAAGGTTAGGAACAAGAATATGTGTATAGATTTAAATATTTATCTCTGTGAATATTAATCCATAGATACAAATGTTGAAGGCAAGTTACAATCTTGAAGAAAATGAAAATTATGTTGTGTACCTATAATATGAAAATAAAAAATCACACAAAGGCATATACCTTCACTCAAGGATGTATACTCGAGTATACATATTATTTATAATAGCGCAAATTTGAAAACAGCCCAAATGTCCCTCAGCTGGTGAATGAATAAACCAGTGGTGATGCCTTGGAACTGTGGAATACTATTCAGCAATAAAAAGGAACTACTGACTCGGCAACATGTGTAAATCTCAAAAATATTATGCTAAGTGAAAGAAGCCAGGGTCAAGAGATGACATACTATATGATTTCTTAAAACTTCCAGAGAAGACAAAATTCAGGACAGAAAGCAGATCAGTGGATGCCAGGAGTGAGAGTTAGGGGAGGAAATTTATTGCAAAGGAGCAGTAGGGGATTGATTGTGGTGATGTTTGAAATGTTCTATGTCATGATCGTGGTTGTAGTTACATGACTATTCTGAAAGTTCATATTTAATAAGTGATATAAAAGAAAAAAGTATTAATGGCTTAAACATTAATTTTCCAAATGAGAGCACTAATTAAAATTCTCAAGTGTTGAGAACAAAGATAGTATCTCATTGTAATTTTTATTCTTTTTAAGGTTAGTGAGGTTTGAAAACAGTTCATATGTTTCTTTGCCATTTGCATGTTTTCTTTTGCAGGTGCCTGTTGACTTCCTTTACCTATTATTCTGTTATGTTGCTTCCAGTTCCTTATGAATTCGCGGAACTTTTTGTATATTCAGAGCAGTAATCCTACATTTTTAGTCTGTAAATGTTTTTCCAGTCACCTGTTTCTTTTGACTATAGTATCTTTTTTTAAAAAGAAATATTTGAAATGTACAAAGAATGTAACAGTTTCCCATACTGCTATTAACATTTTTATATTTTGCTCATCTTTTGAGAAATTTATATATGTGTCCACGAAAAGAGTCAAACTCTATAAAATATTTTAAGAGATTTATTCTGAACCAAATACGAGTGACCATGGCCCGTGACACAGCCATCAGGAGTTCCTGAGAACATGTGCCCAAAGTGGTTGGGGTACAGCTTGGTTTGATATATTTTAGGAAGGCATGAAACATCAATCAGATACATTTAAGAAATACATTGGTTTGGTTTAGAAAGGCGCGACAACTCAAAGTGGGGGCTTCCAGGCCATAAGTAAATTTAGACGTTGTCTGGTTGACGGTTGAGTTTGTCTGAAGACTTGGGATTAATGGAAAGGAATGTCCAGGTTAAGATAAAGGATTGTGGAGACCAGATTTTGTTGTGCAGAGGAATCTCTCAGCAGACTTCAGAGAGAGAGAAGGTTGTAAAATGTTTCTTATTAGACCTAAAAGAGTGCCTGGCTCTTAGTCGATTAATCTCCTGGATCTGGAAAGGAAAGAAGGAAAACAAAGGGAAAAGGGGATTCTCTATAGAATGTGGATGTTTTTTCCCCACAGGAGACTTTGCACGGCAAATTTCAAGGTATGGCAAGGAAATATATTTTGGGGCTAAATATTTTTTCCTTGTCTCATAATGTTATGCCAGAGTCAGATTGAAAAGTAAGTCACGATATATAGCGTCAAATAAAACCCATCTGATGAGAATTTATGGTTTGTAGGGCATGACTTCCTAGACCCCTTAGGTAGGAGTTTGGGCAAGTTAAAAAATCAGAGCTAAGTCCTCACATGGCTTTTAAAAATTGTGAATAAGTAATACTTCCATAAATTCTGATTTAATTACGAATCCCACTAATTTCTTTTTTTTCTTTCCCAGGGACAGCCACTGCAAAGGGTTAAATGTATATTCTTCCAGTCTAGCTTTTATATTTTTATGAGGATGGGGAGATAGACAGATAGGTATATAGTTCAGTGTTTCTCAAAGTGTGGTCTTTAGACCAGCAGCATCAGCGTCACCTGGAAATTTGTGAGAAATGCCAGTTCTTAGTTTCTAACTAAATACTTAGTTTCTCACTAAAAACAGCCATTTTTATTAAGTCCTTCAGGTGATTGTGATGCACATTGAAGTTTGAGAACCATTGTTCATCTAGGTCATTGTCTTTAACTGCTGTATGGTGTTCCCTAAATTGAATATACCATTTTTTAAAAAAGAGACTAAGTCTTGCTATTATGTTGCCCAGGCTGGTCTCAAACTTCTGGGCTTATGCGATCTTCTTCCACCTCAGCCTTCAGATAGCTGCAACTATAAGCATGCACCACCGCACCCAGCTTGAATGTACCATATTTTAAATTCCATATTGTCAAGCATTTAAGTTACTTTTCTTTAAAAAATTAACGTTATTGCAAAGGAAACAATTGGCAGAGTGAAAAGACAACCTACAGGATGGGAGAAAATATTTGCAAAGTATGTATCCAGCAGAGGATTAATATCCAGAATATACAAGGAACTCTGATATCTCAACAGCAAAAAACAAAACAAAACAAAACAAAACAACAACAAAAAATTTAAAAATGGGCAAAGGACCTGAATAGACATTTCTTAAAAGAAGACAGACACATGACCAACAGATATATTTTTTAAAAAAGCTCAACATCACTAGTCATCAGGGAAATGCAAATCAAAACCACAGTGAGATATCATCTCACCCCGGTTAGAATGGCTACTATCAAAAAGACAAAAAATAGCAAATGCTGGCAAAGGTGTGGAGATAAGTGAACTCTTAAATGTGGCTAGTGGGAATGTAAACTAGTACAGCCACTATGGAGAACAGTGTGAAGGTTCCTCAAAAAACTGCAAATAGAACTACCATGTGATCCAACAATTCATTACTGGACGTTTATCCAAAGGAAGGGAAATCAGTATATTGAAGAGACATCTGTACTCCCATGTTTATTGCAGCACTATTCACAATAGCCAAGATATGGAATCATCCTAAGTATCTAACAACAGATGAATGCGTAAAGAAAATATGGTATATATACACAATGGAATAGTATTCAGCCATAAAAAAGAATGAAATTCTGTATTTTGAGGCACGTGGATTGAATTGGAGGACATTATATTAAGTGAAATAAGCCAGGGACAGAACATTAAACACTGAGTGTTCTCATTCATATGTGGAAGCTAAAAAAAAGTTGATCTCAGAAGTAAAAAGTAGAACAGAATACTACAGGCTGGGAAGGATAGGGTGCGGGGAGGGTAGGGAACGATTTGTTAAAGGATTCAAAATTACAACTAGATAGGAAGAGTAAGTTCTAGTGTTGTATACCACTGTAAGATGGCTGTAATTAACAATATGTTACAAAGTTTCAAAGAGCTAGGAGGAGGATGTTGAATGTTCCCAGCACAAAGAAATGATAAGAGATGATGGGTATGCTAATTACCTTGATTTGATCTCTGTATAGCTATGAAAATGTTACTATGTTCTTCATAAATATTAATACATCAAAAAATTTAAAATTAATAATTAACAAAAGATAAAGGGCCCTGAACTCTAGTTTTAGAGCTGAATTGTATCCAGTCAGATAGTTTCTATGTTATTTAAATGTTCACTTTAAATTTGGAGCTGAAATATATTTGGAAATCTTTACTTTTAGTATGTTCATTTGTGTGTGTGAGGTAAACTTGGTTGGCTATTGGCAAATGTATTGGGTAGCTGCTTAATAAAACATTTCCTTCCAGTGCTTCAGCTTTCTGATGCTTAGAAAATATGTATAATTAACATAATATGCATTATCACTTTTGAAAGTAACTAATTATTCGAACAGTTATTTGTGCCAAATTAGTAATGTGAATTTGGGAACTATCAGTCTTTTCTATGGCCCGGAATAATTTAAATAATAGAAATTATCTGATTAGATAGAAATCATTGTAAAATCATCAAGGTTAGGATTTCCTTTGACTTTTGCTTATCATTAGTTTTAAAGAAAAAAAATAAATTGACATAATGGAAATTTTCACTGTACATCAGGAAGGGAATTCAGTGGAAAAGTAAGCTTCCTATTCACTCTTGACCTTCAGTTTATACTTTTTTTCCTAAGTCAAGTACTGCTACTGGTTTCTTATGCTCTTTCTAGAACTAGCCTGTTTATTGTCTATTTAAAATAACTCATTAATCACCTTTTATTTGAGCTCCCTTATGGATCTGTGTAGTTTTTCTGTCTCTTTAAAATTTTGTATGCGGTAAAATGCACGTAACATCAAATTTACCATCTTAGCCATTTTTAAGCATACAGTTTAGTAGCACTATCTTTCACATCGTTGTGCAATCAATCTCCAAAACCTGTTCATCTTCCAAAACAAATTCTGTATCTATTAAACAGCTCTCCGTTCTTCCCTACCCTCAACTCCTGGCAACCGTCCTTTTACTTTCTGTCTCTCTGAATTTGACTACCTCATATAAGTGGACTCATACAGTATTTGTCTTTTTGACATGGGCTTATTTTACTTAGCATAATGTCCTCCAGTTCCATTCATGTTGCCTTGAAAGACAGGATTTCATTCTTTTTTTTTTATGGCTGAAATAGTATTCATCCATGTTGTAGCATGTCAGGATTTCCTTCCTCTTTAAGGCTGAGTGATATATTCCATTGTATATATATACCAACATTTTATTTATCTAAATTCATCTGCCAATGGATTTTTCAGTTGTTTCCACCTTTTGGCTATTATAAATAATGCTACTGTGAACATGGGTGTACAAATAACTTCAAGACCCTGCTTTTAATTCTTCTGAATATATATCCAGAAGTGTAATTTCTGGATCATATGGTTATTTTATTTTTGATTTTTTGAAGAATTTCTGTTGTTTTTAAAGTCACTTTTGATGGTTTGTTCTTTGCTAGAAAATATATATTTCAGTTTTATCAGTGCAGAGTTGTATATAATACTTACATATTTTGTACAATTATATAAAGGTTATATTATATTTCCATATTCTCATATAATTATCTTTAGTATCCATGTTTGTAACTGTTTACTCATTTCTCTTTCCTCATTCACGTTTACTATTTTATTGGTCTTTAAAACCTAGGCTTTGATTTTGTTTCCTAGCATTTAAATTTTTCTGTTTCATTAATTTTAGCTTTCATTTTATTTATACTGTTATTTCTTGAGGCAATGGCTTGGTTCATCTATTTTCAGTTTTTAAAAAAACTGTAAAGTATTTGTAAGGCTCTAAATTTTATTTTATTTTTTAGTTATAGGAATTTTTAATATATTCTGGTTATTCACCCCTTATGAGATACATTATTTGCAAGTATTTTCTCCCACTCTGTGGATTGTTGTTTCATCTTCTTGATAGTGTCGTTTGATACACAAAAGTTTTTATTTTGATGAAATCCAGTTTATCTGTTTTTTCTTTTGTTGCCTGTGCTTTTTTGGTATCATATACAAGAAATCTTTGCCAAATCCAATGTTGAAAATATTTTTTTTTCCTATATTTTCTTATAGGAGTTTTATAGCTTTACTGTTAAGTTTTGGTCTTTGATCTATTTTGAGTTAATTTTTGTATATGATGTAAGAAAAGGGTCCATCTTCATTCTTTTGCATGTGGATAATCAGTTTTCCTAGCATCATTTGTTGAAAAGACCATCCTTTCTCTATTGAATGGTCTTAGCATCTTTGTCAAAAATTGGTCATATGTGTGAGGGTTTCTTTCTAGGCTCTCTATTCCATTGGTCTGTATGACTGTGCTTATGCTAGTACCACATTGTTTTGATTACTGTAGCTTTGTAGTAAGTTTTCAAATAAGAAAGTGTGAGTTCTCCAACTTTATTCTTTTTCAAGATAGTTTTGACTATTATGCGGCTCTTTGAGATTCCATATGAATTTTAGGATGGGTTTTTCCTTTTTTTTTTTGAGATGGAGTCTCGCTCTGTTGCCCAGGCTGGAGTACAGTGGCGCGATCTCGGCTCACTACAAGCTCCGCCTCCCAGGGTCACGCCATTCTACTGCCTCAGCCTCCCAAGTATCTGGGACTACAGGGACCCGCCACCATGCCCAGCTAATTTTTTTTGTATTTTTAGTAGAAACGGGGTTTCACCATGTTAGCCAGGATGGTCTCCATCTCCTGACCTCGTGATCTGCCCGCCTCGACCTCCCAAAGTGCTGGGATTACAGGCGTGAGCCACCGCGCCTGGCTTTTTTTTTTTTTTTTTTTGCAAAAAATACCATTGGGATTTTGATAGGGATTGCATTGAATCTGTATATTGCTTTGGGTAATATTGTTACCTTAACAATCTAGGAACGTGAGATATCTTTCCATTTATTTATGTTTAATTTCTTTCAGCAATGTTTTGTAGTTTTTTATTAAGTTTTTCACCTCCCTGATTAATTCCTATGTATTTTATTTTGGATGCTATCGTAAGTGGAATTGTTTTCTTAATTTCCTTTTTGTATTTTTCATTGCTAATGTATAGAAATCCAGCTGATTTTTGTGTGCTGATTTTGTATTCTGTGACTTTGAATTTATTAGCTCTAACAGCTTGTTTTTGGTGTGTATGTGTCATCTTTAGGGATTTCTACATATATATCATCTGTGAATAGACATAGTTTTGCTTCTTTCTGTCCAAATTCAATGAATTTTCCATCTTTTTCTTGCCTACTTGCTCTGTCCGGAATTTCTAGTATTATGCCAAATAGAAGAAGAAAAAGTGGGCATCCTCATCCTGTTCCTGATCTTAGGGGAAAAACGTTCAATCTTTCACTATTGAGTATGTTGTTAGCTATTGGTTTTTAATACATGGCTTTTACGATGTTGAGGAAATTTCCTTCTATTCCTAGCTTGAGTGTTTTTTTATCATAACAGGTGTTGAACTTTGTCAAGTGGTTTCTCTGTATTGATTCAGATGATCATGTGGAGTTTCTTCTTCATTCTATTAATGTGGTATATTACATTGATTTTTTCATTGTTGAATCATCTTGTGCTCCTGGAGTAAGTTTCACTTGGTCATGGTGTGTCATCCTTTTAATAGGCTGCTGATTTTGTTGAGTTTTTCATCAGTATTCCTAGGGTGTATTAGTCTGTAGTTTTCCTGTAGTATTTTTGTCTGGCTTTGGTATCGGTAATGTTGGACCATAGAACTAATGAAGAGAAGTGTTCCCTTCTCTTTAATATTCTGGAAGTGTTTGAGAAGCATTCTTTAAATGTTGGGTGGAATCAACCAGTGAAAGCTATCTGGTCCTAGCCTTTTCTTTGGGAGCTTTGTGATTACTGATTAATCCCTTTACTAGTTATAGTTCTATTTAGATTTTCTATTTCCTCATGAGTTAGTTTCGGTAGACTGTGTGTTTGTAGAAATTTGTCCATTTTGTCCAGGTTATCCAAATTGTTGGCATACAGTTTTACATAGTATCGTCTCATAATTCTTTTTATTTTTGCAAAATCAGTAGTGTCACCACTTTTTTTGTTGTTGTTGAGGGGGTGGGGGGGATAGAGTCTTGCTCTTTCGCACAGGCTGGAGTGCAGTGACAAGATCTTGGCTCACTGCAACCTCTGCCTCCTGGGTTCAAGTGATTCTCCTGCTTCAGCTTCCCTAGTAGCTGGGACTACAGGCATGCACCACCATGCCTGTGTAATTTTTGTCTTCTTTACAGTAGAGATGGGGGTTTTACCATGTTGATCAGGCTGGTCTTAAACTCCTGACCTCAAGTGATTCGCCTGCTTTGGCTTCCCAAAGTGCTGGGATTACAGGCATGAGCCACTGCATCTGGCCGTGTCACCACTTTCATATCTGACTTTAGTAATTTGGTGTTCTTTCTCTCTGTCTCTCTTTTATTTATTTATTTTTTTGTTAACCTATCTAGCTAGAGTTTTGTTGACTTTTTCAAAGAATCAGCTTCTGGTTTTGTAATTTTTCTCCATTGTTTTTCTGTTCTCTCTTTTCACTCTAATTTTTATTATTTTCTTTCTTCTGCTAGCTTTGGTGTAGTTTACTCTTTTTCTAGTTCCTTGAGGTATATGGTTAGGTTATTGAATGAGAACTTTCTTATTTTTTGATGTCAGTGTTTACAGGTTTACATTTTTCTTTTAGCTCTGCATTCACTGCATCCTATAAGTTTTAGTATGTTGTGTTTTCGTTTTCATTTATCTCACGTTGGTTTCTAATTTCCTTTGTGATTTTTTCCTTTGATCTATTAGTTAACATTCACAAATTTTCACATATTTGTGAATTTTTTAGTTTTTTTATCTGCTGTTGGTTTTTCATTTCCATTATGATCACAAAACATACTTTGTATGATTTCAGTTTCTTTAAATGTATTAAGACTTATTTTGTAGCCTAACATAGGTCTGTTTTGGAGAATGTTCCATGTACACTTGAGAAGAATATATTGTGCTGGTGTTGGGTGAGTTTAGTTTTTGACATGTTACATTTGAGCATTCATTTAGGAGAAAAGCCAAAGGAAGACATTTGTTAATGAACTGTAAAGAGGGGTTGACATCACAAGAATAGGTAATTTTTTTTGAGAAACAAATTTAGAGCAACAGAACAGCCTTGAATATATTCTTATTTAGAAGGCTGAAGGTTGAATATAACCTGGAGTGTTAGAAAAGGGTGGAACAGTTTATCATAGACCAGAGCCAAGAAAGTATAATATTTAGACTTTAAATATCAAAAAGAAGATATGGTCAGCTGAATTCAAAGTTGAAGGCTAGGTGTGGTGGCTCATGCCTGTAATTCTAGCACTTTGGGAGGCTGAGGCAGAAGGATCACTTGAGCCCAGGGGTTCAAGACCAGCTTGGCCAACATGGTGAAATCCTGTCTCTACTAAAAATACAAAAATTAGCCAGGCATGGTGGCAGGCGCCTGTAAACCCAGCTACTCTGGAGGCTGAGGCGGGAGAATCGCTTGACCCTGGGAGGCAGAGGTTGCAATGAGCCAAGATCGTGCCTTTGTACTCCAGCCTGGGCAACAGAGGAAGACACCATCTTGGGAAAAAAAAAAAAAAGAAGTTCAGAAAACAGCTTGTTTGGGAAGGACTGTTTTTTGTATTCCTTTAATAATTCAATAAAGAAAATAGAAAAAGGATTTTTTTTAAATTTGAGAAACATTTAAATGATGACCACTACTTAAATTATGAAATTGAAAACCACAAATATAAATTATGCATTCTTTATAGTATGAGTTTTAGAGGCTGTTAATTTGCTATAATATTAGCTACATCTGGAATAGAAGAAACTTCATATATTATCTTATCGCTATATTTGAATTCTGTAGAAGTTATTTCTGGACAGTCTACGAAAAGCTCTTGCTGGCCATGGAGGAAGTAGGCAGCTGACAGAAAGTGCTGCAATTGCCTGTGTCAAACTGTGTAAAGCAAGTACTTACATCAATTGGGAAGATAACTCTGTCATTTTCCTACTTGTTCAGTCCATGGTGGTTGATCTTAAGGTAACATGCTTATTCTTTCTCTACTACAAACTTTAAGAAAATTAAATGAATTTTCTAGCATAAGTATTATGTCAAAGATAATTGCTAACATTAAAGTTCTGACTCTTCGTTGATAAGTTCATAGGACTTGCTTTTGTTGTTACTGTGTTCATCAGCCTAAATGGACTGAGAATATGAAGAAAACACCATTTTCTTAAATAAGCATAAATATACAGACTTGGGTTTAAAATAATGTGGCAATTAGGGCCTGAAATGAACCTATATATGGTATAGGAAGAATTGTATCAGACTGATGAACCACAGTATGGGTGCTTTGTGCTTCTTCTGGCAGCTGGATTTTACTGCCATTTGTGTGGGTAATGTGTTGATGTTATTACATGTTAGTAAAGAAATACTGCATGGGTATTTAAAGGCTTTTGTTTTCTGTTGGGGTTTTTATAGAACCTGCTTTTTAATCCAAGTAAGCCATTCTCAAGAGGCAGTCAGCCTGCAGATGTGGATCTAATGATTGACTGCCTTGTTTCTTGCTTTCGTATAAGCCCTCACAACAACCAACACTTTAAGGTGAGAGCATTGGTTTTTATCTAACTATATTTACTGATGCTGTTATCCTTTATAAACAAAAAGACTATAGAGATTAATAGGTTCACTTTTATCGGTATTTCTCACTATTATGTATTGATGTTCGTTTCAAGACCTTAAAAACTTAGTGTTTTTTTTTTAAACTTTCTATTTGCTGTTCTTTTTGGCTTCATTTGTATTACTGAGTATTTTTCTCATAGAAATAATCTGCTTTTTTTTTTCTTTTTCTATAGATCTGCCTGGCTCAGAATTCACCTTCTACATTTCACTATGTGCTGGTAAATTCACTCCATCGAATCATCACCAATGTAAGTCCAAAAGGTATTGCTAAATTACTAAAAAAATTTTTTTCTTTCTTTTCTTTGCGTATTTCTTTTTAAGAAATGCACTCTTGGTTTTCAAAAAGGTTCTGAATTTAGATGTATGAAATAGGAAAATTTCTCCATGGTGATTCTATTTGATAATTGATAAATATTTGTATTTTTCATATTAAGTCTTGACCGAAGGGACCATATTAAGGAAGATGGAGTTAATAAGATGCTTTGGAAAGATTAAATCTAAAACGTTTTATTCAGATCAGAAGCCCTTGAGAAAAATGTCACTGAAAATACAGTTTAAAATTTTCATCCCGAAGCTTTTCAAACATATTATTTCAGCATTTGATACATTGACTTGCCACCTTACCATTTAAGTTAAAAGTAATAGTATTTATGTTGTAGTCTAGTATAGCACATTGACAAAATGATGGGACTATATTTGATGGTACTTTTAAATCTTTTGATCCTAAATTCATTCATAGTGTAAAATTTCATTTTTCTTAAACAAAATGAAATATTAACATACTTTAAAGTAGGTATTAACAAGATACAAAAGCATATCAGACAAAGTAAGTGAAATCATTAAAAGGTACTTGCGAAACCTTCAACTCTGTCTGATGTGGAGACATTAAATAGACAGCAAAACTATCAGATTTGGACTGTGGATTTTTAAAATTCTGTTCTTGTAATAATGAACAACCCTATTTTGAAAGTTTTCAAGTGTTATTTTCCATTGTTCCACTTTTATCAAATGATACTCACATTTATGGGTAAATTGGTTGATGCTTTCCTTCCTTAAAGGAGGCTGTAATCATTGATAACTTAGTATATTTGACCTGTTTATAATCAAATTCCATTTTAAGACTGTGCCTCTGGTGAGTTGAAAATAACCCTTCACCTCATTTGCCCTGGATGTTGTATTTATTTAAAATAAATACTGCCCATATTCTATCCATTCCTGCAGTGGAAAATTAACTATTGATAAAGCTATTTGGTGATACATTTAATTTTTCTCAGCAGGTGTTTAGTGAGCATTTTGGGAGGACAGTCCTTTGTTGTGCAGGATGCCTTGGGCATTGCAGGACCTTTAAGATCGTCTGGCCTCATTTCATTAAATGCCAGTTGTGCTGCATCTCCCCATCCCTAGTCATTATGAACAAATAAACATGCCTGAGGGAATGATACCTCCTCCCTTAGTTGAGTATCACTGAGTTAAATTGTAGGTAAAAGTAACATTGAATATGCTTTGTTCCAAAAGGGAAAGTTTAATGAAGATTGTAAATAAGGTATGTTTGTATTAAAAACTTAAAAAAAATCACTGTACTTTTGTCAGCGTAATGAGCCAGGGCATTGTACCTTCAAGGTTTACTTTCAAGGCCATTAAAACAAAAAGATGATTTCTCCCCTCAAGTTTATGTGTAACTCAGAAATAAGTCATTATTGCTTTTTTCCGCTGTGGCTCAGAACACTAAAAATATTCAAAGAGTGGATAGCTTTGCATAAATGCTTAAAATTTGTATACAATAAACCCAAATATATACTTTTTTGATACTTTGTGGCTAGTTACTTTAATTGTGAAATATTTTTGTCTACAACTGACTACATAGAGCACTTTCAAGCATGGACTTGGCACTGCTGTAAGTGGCTGAGCTGCTCCTTTCTGGGTTCCAAGCATGCCTGGAGTGGTGCTTCATGCATGCCTCAGTGTACTTGGTGAAAGTGGCTGTGCATCCTCTTCTACTCTAATGAGCACTGCATGTGTGGAGGGTGGAGTGTGTCTGTATCAGAGATCAAGTTATATGAAAATCTGTTTTTATAAAGAAAAAAACTACATTGAATAATTTTTAAACATTAAGTATCAGTAACTTTTCAATGAAATAGCTTGAAAAGGAACATAAATATTAGTTCAAAGTATCTTTTTAAATTATGCTTTGGGTAGTGATACTTTATTATTATAGATAGTGTGGGAAATTGTTTCTCGTTAGGATATTTTCCCCCTTGGTTTGAGGCTAATCGCTATTGAATCTGAAGTACTCTTTTGGTTGAAAAGGACTATTTATAAAGTGAATATAGAAATTTATGAGATTGACTATTTTAGAGTTTCATTTGAAGACATTTATTATGGCAATATTTTTGTCTTGAAAAATCACATGAAATTATTCTTAGATATTTGGACTTCTGATCTTAAATTCATTCGTAGTGTAAATTTTTTTTCTAATGATTCTTGGTTCAATGTACCTCATAAGTTCTCTTCTCCCATGGTTCTTTAGCCAGTCCACACATTTTTTTTAAAGCATCACATTCTCAAATAAGATAAAAGTTTTAGTGATGTGTATTGAGGGTTTGTGTAGAAGTAGTAAGGTGTTTGGAGTTCTACTTTTGTGAAACATACTCATACTCAGTTCATAAGTACTGAGTTTAGATCTAAAATATTCTAGTGTTTCTTCTTAGAAAATCTAAAATATATCCACTATTTGATTCTTATTATAATGCAGGTTCCTAGCAGTTACTAAAATAGTAGTTGTACTGTCATCTTTTTTATTATGATGTGCCATAAGAGATGAATTAATAGTTGTAAGATCTATGTTATATGCATAATCTTCATAGACTTCCTTTAGGTTAAATTAGATATGTAATTGGGAAATTTAAAAAGTAATATACACACTTATGAACCAATTATCTTAGCCATCACTGGTACATGCTATAGCTGGTATATTACTTATTTCTGTTTTTTCCTTACGACAATTTATCGTAATTTACATATGGATAGTTCACATACTGAAAATGAGATGATTGCTTTCTACTGAGAGGTTGTAGTTGAAAGGAATTGTTTCCAAGGCATTTGAAAATTATTTAAATCTCTTAAGGAATTGCCACATAATTTGTTCATATTATGTAAGTGTTGCCATTTGGCTATAAACATGGTATTTTCAAGGAAAAAAAGAGTAAGTCTACTTTAATTGACTGGTGTTCAGGAAGGGCACATTTAGTAACTGCTCAAAATACTAAACTTTTTTGCCAACCACATGATGTCTAGTTTTTCATACTTATTTTATTTGAAAATGTGTATTTTACTTTAAAATGAATATATTATGAAAAATGAAAACTATGAAAATTACTAAATCTTAAGCCTAAAGTTATTTTATGTGGTGCACCTGGTACCACAATACGGTTTCAAAAGCTATTAAAAAAAGACACAGTAATTTGAATAGGATGTTATATGGGATGCCTTTCTTAGTTTATCAGTTTCTGACAAGATCTTACGAGATGTGTTGGGTAAGGAAGACCCTTCACTCAATGTACTTTGTTATTATTCAGCTTTTTGTTACTTTAGGCTGATTAACACAAGCTGTATAATTTAGTAAGTATAAGGAAATCAAGTTGCATTGGTTGCTTTGGGCAAGTCAAAATTGCTGAGAGTTGGAGGAATCCATTATACTATCAGACTAAAAATTGATCATTTGTAGAAACTAGATTAAATAAAGTAGGAGTTGAGGGAAAAATGTAAACAACCATACTGTCCCAAAAAAGCATTTCTTCCCTCCCAGTTTTGGGATTCCTCCCTGAATGGAGTTCAGTATTCAAAATGTGTATCATAAGTTGGTTTTATATTTTACTATCCGGCGAACAGGATTTGTAATCCACAGTTTGGGTTAAGGTAATATAACTCGATGCTATTCAAAATATTCTGAGAATTCCAAGTGAAGAAATTAAAATGTCGAGACTTCAATTAGCTTAGTTTTGAATAAGAAAAAATCTGGGACTGAAATGTGAGAGATGTGAGGCTATTCAATCCCTCTTATCTACAATTTGAATGTATTATTCTTCCAGATTTTTTAAATAAACATCTGGAGTATTATAAATTAGAAGCCTACATTTTAGGTCATTTAATGCATAGTCTACATATGTAGTGAAAATTCATCCAGTCAGTTTTTTATTAAATGATAGACTTTAAAGATATAGTGATTTTCACAATTGTCATTTTTTAATAATATATCAAGTAATTCATTTTAAAGTTAAAGATACACTTCCAAATAAAATAGGCACTAAAAACTAGACATCAGAGTTAAACAGGGTAAATTGAAATAGAAAATACATAAAATAATTGTTTAAAAAATATTTCACTAGGATCAGTTTGTCTTTGTTTATGGTAATTGTTAGTCTCCCATATATCATGTCATCATTGCATATCAATTTATAGGTTTACTTAATAGTTTTATTTCATTTACTAATTTCATGTTGTAATTATCATTGTTGTCTGTAAACATATAAGTAATGGTTTTCCACATACACTTTTAATACTGTGTTGAACCACTAATCACTTTTAAAGCTTTGATAATAGCATTCTTACCTGGGAAAATATATGCCATGTATGCACGTGTGCCAGAAATTGTAAAACATTAAACTTAAAAAAAAAAAAAGAAGATTGGCTACAGATTAGCTCTCTGAAGACTTTATTTTTCAAATTCACTGGCTAATCATCGAGAAAAGATGTCTCACATGCACATGCTCATAAAGTGGGCAATTTGTCTCATGCTCACTATTATGTTTTATAATATAATATGTATGAGTTAGTGTTTGAATTAAAGACGTTGTTTGAAGACTTTGGAAATCATGGTGTGTGTTTGCATGGTCTTAGAAAGTTCCCGACAAAAGGATAAAACTTAAAACTACAGTGATAAACAGAGCATACAACTCACGTAATTTTGTACTTTTTCTTCCTATTGGTCTTTGTTTTTCTCTAGTCCGCATTGGATTGGTGGCCTAAGATTGATGCTGTGTATTGTCACTCGGTTGAACTTCGAAATATGTTTGGTGAAACACTTCATAAAGCAGTGCAAGGTTGTGGAGCACACCCAGCAATACGAATGGCACCGGTAAGATAAATCACGAATTTTGAATCTCACCTCCTTTCTATTGCATTTTTTTTAGTGTCTTTATCCTATTCCTGCTGCTTTGGTTATTTTAGAGAATTGAATGGGTCCTTCATTTCCTCTAAATGTTGTGGTATGTTGTATCTAGAATATTGTTGAATACTAGATTATGTTTGTTTTCCACTGTTTCCATGAGTTGAACTTAACTTTTCTTAGATAAATTTTCTCACAAAACACTGAAAGTCTTAATGAATGTCACCTTTTTTTTCTGTTTTTAAAGTTTTTTTTCTCCTTAAAACTTTTGAACAAAAATATTTTGATTAGCCTCTCACGTTTTGGGGATGAGTAAGGGAAGCTGACTCCTGGGTTAGAGTGAATGTTGCTGCCAATGCACATTTTAGCTAATTGAATGGTGACTATTAAACATAGGAAATGAATAAAATTTAGAGTTTTTGTATTTAAAATAAAAATATTTTGTATTTCAACAAATATGCCTTGAGGTTTTACAACTGATAGGAACTTTGATACTGACATTTGACTCTAAACTTAATAAAAAGCAGACTTAAAATTGGGTATTCTCACAGATTATTACTCTTAATATGGAATTTTAAAACTCCTATGGAATCAATTTAAAAAGATAATTATAAGATTGTGGAAGTCATTTTTTTGGTGTTTATGTATAGCAAGAGTATTATACAAGAGCAACTCTTGACATTGATTGGTGGTGCTTTGTCTTCTGCTTCTTATTTTCTATTATTGGCTGCTGTCGCTCACATGATCAGATGCCAACCAGTCACTGTTTTGCATGGCAGTGGGCTTCTGTGGCTGTAAGTATGACCCATTGTAACTACATCAGAAAAGTCCTTGGTTTCTTTGACTTTTCTGTGTATAGTTACCATTATAGTCACATCTTGTCATTTCAACTGAAAATATAGCATGTCTTCACCTGTTGGTTTTATCTAGTAAGTTAGTCATTTCACAGTTAGGAGATAATTTAAACAGCTTTCTCCCTGGCATGCTTCTCTTTTTCCAAGTCCCCTTAGTCAGTGAAATATTTTGGTTTTATACAGTTGTGGTTCACTCTTATCCAGTTGTCAGTAATTATTTCTGAGGATTGTTTATCTTAGATGTTCAAATAGAGAAGTTTTTTATGTCATATATTTTGGGATTATTGAGCCTAAAAAATATAGCCAAAAGATCATGGCAATGATGTTTCCTTAAGTAAACTTTAAAATGCAAGGTTACCTTTTAGTTGACTTTTTGTAATGCCAAGTACTTCACTTTTTTTTAAGTTGAAGAAATTTTCAGTACAGGTATAAGTTAATTGGAGGTAAGCATAAATAATAGCTGTTTAAATGTCATTTAATAAGATATTTTTAAAAAATCTTTTAAAACTACTTGAAATAAGTTGTTTAAAAGTTATTTATTGACCTGTTTATTCCAGAGATCTGGGAAATCAGAAGTTTATTTGACTTTTTTGCTTTAAGTTTACTACCTTTTCTGGTAGAAAGTTAATGACCTCCAATAATAGGACTTGTTGGGGGGTTAATATTCACTTCCTATTTAACTTCAATATCCACTTTACCAGCTGCCCATAATTTTCTGTGAATAAGGACTAAAAATGAAACTAAATGATTATTTTGAACAGAGGTAAAATTTGATTGGTAGTCTAAATATGTTCTCTACACTTAGAAGTTATTTTACTTCTTAGCCCTAGTTATAAGCTGATTCTCAGAGCTACATATTATTTTACCGAAAAGCCATAACTAGAGAGGATTTCCTCTTTTGGCTCAAGGACACCTGTAATAAGAATTTAGTTTTTATTTCTAATTATTTTCTGAAAATATCAATATACATTTAATTTTCAAAATCATTCCTAAGCTGTTTATGTTTTTGAAATGTTATATGTATGTATATTTGTACATAATGACTAAAGGACAGCTTTTGGGCTGATATTACCAGGAGAGAAAATAAATAGCAAATGTAATATGAAACAATTTTTAGAATAAGAAAATTTTAGGTTTTGAATGGCTGTTAGGGTAAAATCTCACCCTTCATAAACTTGGTGAGTTAACAGTCAGATAACCAGTATGGAAGTATTGACCTTCTACTCTTTGCCAGGCAAAGGTGCTAATGCCAGGGAAGCATGGTGAACTAAACATACACAGCACTTCCCCTCACCGAGATTCCAAGCAAAAGGTTTATAGCTTTTGCTTGAAAATGTCTAATGAAGAACTCAACACCGGACACGGTGGCTAACGTCTGTAATCCCAGCACTTTGGGAGGCCAAGGTGTGCGGATCACCTGAGGTCAGGAGGTCGAGACCAGCCTGGCCAACATGGTGATACCCTATATCTACTAAAAATACAAAAATTAGCCAGGCGTGGTGGTGCATCCCTGTAATTCCAGCTACTCAGGAGGCTGAGGCAGAAGAATCGCTTGAACCTGGGAGGCAGAGGTTGCAGTGAACTGAGATGGCGCCATTGCACCCCAGTGTGGACAACAAGAGCGAGAATCGGTCTCAAAAAAAAAATCAAACAAAAAAACTCACTACAGGTGGCATGGAGTCTGGCAACACAGGCAAATATATATAATAAATGGTTTACAGATAATACCTAACATCAGAGTTTCCTACTGTTGGCACTATTAACATTTTGGACTGGATAACTCTGTTATAGGGGGCTGTACTGCGCATTGTGGGATATTCAGCAGCATCTCTGGCCTCTACCCACTAGATGCCAATATTCCCTTTACCCCCCAGCCCTCCAAGTCATGAAAACCAAACATGTCTCCAAACATTTCCAGATGCCCCTTGGGGGACAAAATCACCCCCAGTTGAGAACTACTGTATTACAGAGTATGTTCAGTGGGTTGTCCCTCATTTGTATTGCCTCAAATGATTTGGGACTGATAAACCTGAGCCATTAGCTTGCTTCAGAAGTAGCAATCTAGGAGTTCTGTTGCAAAACAGTAAAAGTAAAATAATATCTGCTTCAAGGCTTTACTAACACTTTGTATTTTGGAGAGACAAGTTACTTGTTGGAAGGAGCTAATTATTTGAAAATTTTCTCTTCGACCAAGATAGAATCATGTCTCTGTCACTTACAGCCATCACTGATCCTCTTTCTGTTGGAGCTCTATAGAATACTTCTGATTCTTCCACAAGGTGGCCCTGCAGATATTTGAATAAGGTTATTCTGTACTCCTAGAATTCGTTTTATTTTTATATCGTTTTGGCATTGGAAGGGATTTTATTCTTTTAGCTCTCTCTCTTTTTTTTTCTTCTTGAGACAGAGTCCCACTCCGAGTCCCACTCTGTCACCCAGGCTGGAGTGAGTGCAGTGATGCAATCTTGGCTCACTCCAACCTCTACCTTCCAGGTTCAAGTGATCTCCTGCTTTAGCCTCCCGACTAGCTGGGGTTACAGGTGCCCACCATCATGCCAGCTAATTTTGTGTTTTTAGTAGACCATTTAGCACCATTTTGGGCAGGCTACTCTTGAACTGTGACCTCAGGTGATCCACCTGCCTCAGTCTCCCAAAATGCAGGGCTTATAGGCATGAGCCACTGTGCCTGGCCTCTTTTAGCTCTCTTTAAAACTGTATGTGTGTTTGTTGGGTCTGTTTTTATAGCTAAAGAAACTGAAGCTTAAATAAAGTTATATTAATAACAAATGCATGGTTAATGAACAGTCAACCAGAGTTAGTTCTGAGGTTTCTTGACATTCAGTTCAGTGTCTTTATCAGGTTCTTTAGTTGTCCTTCTTCACTAGCAAGTTAGCTTGATGAAAGCAGTAGCTTTGTCTGGCTTAATCAACACTGAATCCCTAACGTTTGAACAACATCTGATACATATTGGGCATTTAGTACATGTTTGCAGAATGAATGAAGGAATGAATTTCTTACTTGATGTGGTTTCAAAATCCTCGTACAGGCCGGGCACAGTGGCTCATGCCTATAATACCAGCACTTAGGGAGGCCGGGGCGGGCAGGTCACTTGAGACCAGGAGTTTGAGACCAACTGGGCCAACATGGTGAAACCTTGTCTCTACTAAAAATGCAAAAAAATTAGGCAGGCGTGGTGGCAGGCACTTGTAGTTATAGCTACTCAGGAGGCTGAGGCAGGAGAATTGCTTGAACCCGGGAGGCGGAGGTTGCAGTGAGCCAAGATTGTGTCACTGCACTGTCAGCCTGGGCAACGGAGCGAGACTCTGTCTCAAAGAAACAAAAACAAAAAACAAAAAACCCTCCTGTTTCTGATTTGCTTCTCTTCTGGAAAGACCAACCTGACAAAAATTTTTAAAATTAAAATGCCATATTAAGATCTGATGTTAGTGATACAGATATAATACTATGATGTAATAATTGATAAAAGCTATTAAACTGCTGTGTTTGTATACCCTGTTTCTATTAATACAATCTAAGATAGTATTATTATTTTATGTTGACTTTTTAGTTATTTAAACTCTTTGGCCCTTTTTATATGAATGTTGAGCCATAACTTCTCCTTTGTACCTTTGTAGTATTTTTTTAATATTTGAAATGTTTGTCTTAGCACTGATTTTACTATTTGCAAACTAACATCTCCTGCTTTCATAAAATTCAAAACTGCCAATAACAGATATATGAATTTTCACAAGTATTTGTTATTTCTCAACATTTTTTATCTTAAGTGGCATGCTGGCTCACCAGATCTTTCTTACATGCCTGTTATTCAGTCACATGGTCTAAATTAACAAGTGGTTTGGGCCTTTAATAGATATCTGAAGACTCTGGTTCATGAATTTCTTCCCAGACATGATTGCCTCTCATCTTTGGCCAGATCACATGTACCAGCTTCTATTCCTACTAATACCTGCAATATAGAAGATCAACTAATGAATGAATGAATTTTTTTCTTACATTTCTAATTAAGAAACACATTGCTTCTTTAGCATGTTTTTCCTCACTTTCTGTAACCCACTAAAATTAAAAGGTATTTGAGATGAATTAAATTTATTGGAATTTCTGAAGTCATACATTTCATATTAGGCAACCATGTTGGAACAGAATTTACATGTTGATATTTGGGATTAAGAGGTGACATAATTAAACTAATATAGTCATACATCACTTAATGACAGGGACATGTCTTGAGAAATGAGTGCATCCTTAGTGATTCAGTCATTGTGCAAACATCATAGAGTCTGCTTACATGAACCTAGATGGTTATATAGCCTGCTACATACCTAGGATATATGGTCTAGCCTACTGCTCCTAGGCTGCAAACCTAGACTAAACAGCATGTTACTGTACTGAATACCTTAGGCAGTTGTAGCACAATGGTAAGTATTTGTTTATTCAAACAGAAAAGGTGCAGTAACAATACAGTATAAAAGAAAAAAATGTATAGGACACTTAACACAAATGGAGTTTGCAGGACTGGAAGTTGCTGTGGGTGAGTCATTGAGTGAGTGTTGAGTGCATGTGAAGCCTAGGACATTACACTACTGTAGACTTAAAATTTTTTTAAATTTATTTTACTTTTAATACTTTTGCATTTTTCTCATACTCAGGATCTATACTGTAGACTTTATAAACACTACACTTAAGCTATATCAAATTTATAAAAAATATTTTTATATGATAACTTTACAGTAGCTTTTAAAATATAAACTTTTAAATTTTTTAATTTTTTGACTTGTAATAACACTTAGCTTAAAACACTTTGTATAGCTAGCTGTATAAAATATTTTTCTTTATATCCTGTAAGTTTTTTCTATTTGAAAATGTTCTATTTTAATTTTTATTTTGAAAACTGTTTTAAGATCTGGGACACAAACATACACGTTAGCCTAGGCCTACATGGGGTCAAGATCATCAATCAGTGTTACTGTCTTCCACCTCCACATCTGCTCCCATTGGAAGGTTTTTAGGGGAAATAACGTGTGGAGCTGTCATCTCTTGTGGTAACAATGCCTTCTTCTGGAATACCTACTGAAGGACCTTCTGAGGCTGTGTTTCATAGTTAACTTTTTATCTTTAAGTAGGAGTATAACAATACAAAGTATACTATAGTAGGCTGGGCCTGGTGGCTCACGCCTGTAGTCCCAGCACTTTGGGAGGCCAAGGCAAGTGGATCACCTGAGATCAGGAGTCGAGACCAGCCTGGCCAACATGGCAAAACCTCTTCTCTACTAAAAATAGAAAAAAATTAGCTGGGCGTGGTGGTGCATGCCTGTAGTCCCAGCTACTTGGGAGGCTGAGGCAGGAGAATTGCCTGAACCCGGGAGGCAGAGGTTGCAGTTAGCCGAGATCGCGCCACTGCACTCCAGCCTGGGCAACAAAGTGAGACTTGGTCTCAAAATATATATATTATAATAAATACATAAACCAGTAACAGTTATTTATTCTCATCAAGTATTGTATACTGTACATAATTGTATGTGCTATACTTTTTTTTTATATGACTAGAAGTGAAGATTTGTTTACACCAGCATCACTACAAACAATAACGCATTGTGCTTGGACATCACGATGGCTATGATACTAAGTGATAGGAATTTTTCAGCTATGTTACATATTGTCTATCATTGACTGAAATGTTGTTTTGTGGCATATGACTCTATTTACGTTTTTTG
The DNA here is from genome assembly GCF_000001405.40 of Homo sapiens. Lineage (NCBI taxonomy): Eukaryota > Metazoa > Chordata > Mammalia > Primates > Hominidae > Homo > Homo sapiens. The sequence goes on from NW_025791803.1 coordinate 292,162, forward strand.
GAAATGATTCTTAAGGAAAAATTCTGATACCTGCTCATTGTTCTCTGATCTTGTGTTCCTGTGCAATGGCTGCATCAGGGAAGAGCCATTTGATAGTTACACTTAGTTACATCAAAGTAAATAAATTCGTTTAATCAAAGTTTCAGCTTGATCTGAGGTGAAACACCTCAACTTAGAGTGAGGAAAAAAATACAGTTGAAAGAGAGCAAACAGTAAAACCAGAATTTATTAAATCATTTAGTAAAACATTTGCTTTGGGGTCAGGGGGCAGTTATAAAAAGCAAACTATTTGGAAGTTTTGCTATTTCTCTTCTGTAGTGACATTCTTGAGTATAAATGTGTGCATTAAATAGCTATTCTTCCCCGCAAGGACTAAAACCCTTCGGTGTTCTTGGGTATAATAACAAATGCATATTTCACTTAAACATTGAGGATAGTTCATTTGTGTTGTAGATATGCATGTCTGCTTCTTAACTTTGAAAGACAGCCTGTTTACCTGGACATTTGTATTATGGGTCCACAGTTGGTACACAGTCTTGTTATTTCTGTATTATATATATGTTTACATAAAGACATTCATTCAGAATCAGATAGTTTTGTGTTCTTTTCAAGGAAAAAAGGAAGGAGATGTTTTATAATAATAGGTGATGTTAGCTCTGGAATATAATTGTTGGATTTTTGGTTGAAAAACATTTATAATTATTTTAATTCATCATATGTCTCTATAATTGAAACATATTTTCTGTAAGTTTACCTTTCTGAGTTCTTTCTGTTTTACAAATGTTCTTCAGGCAAAATGCATGCATTCTGTAACTTAAAAGAGGTGGAGTGCCGTCGAAGGAAAAAGCAAATTTTACAATTAAACTAGTAAATACAAAGATTGCCTACATGTTTCATTAATTCTAAGAAGCACTTATTTTTACTCTTCTCTAAAATTGGGAATGTATCTTATTTTAAATGGTGTCTTACAATTGACAGCAGTTTTTCATTCCTTTTGGGACATCAAATAATGATGCATCTTACAATTGATAATGTTGTAGAGTCTATGAAATACTTGTATGTATGTCTGGGGAATGTTTGTTAAATAAATTACCCAGTGTGTATATTTGTGAGAACTATAGGCCAAATCTTTTTTCCCTTATGTTTTTACATTTTAGAAAATAGTTTTTTACATAGATGTTTTACAACCTGATACTAAGCTTTTAGTATTGTAATAGATTTTCATTGTTTTATTAGATTGATAAAAAAAAATATAAATGGTGCAAAAACGATTTTCATTGTTTTGTTAAGCTTAATAATACTGACCTTATGCTTACTATTGAGTGTTTCTACTAATACCACACATTTGGTAGTATAAAAAATAGCTTTTTTCAAAGGTTTTTAATAATAAATTTCTTTTAAAAGGTTGGATAGCTATTATCCTGAGTCTTATGTCTGATACCATGTTTTTGTTTTGTTTTTAGAGTCTTACATTTAAAGAAAAAGTAACAAGCCTTAAATTTAAAGAAAAACCTACAGACCTGGAGACAAGAAGCTATAAGTATCTTCTCTTGTCCATGGTGAAACTAATTCATGCAGATCCAAAGCTCTTGCTTTGTGTAAGTATTTTTTTATGAAATGTCTCAAAATTATCACACTAAGTTAATTGGGTTTAGCTGAAACGCCAAGACCTTGAGGATAATTTTTAGCTCAAGAGCACTTACTGATCCTTTCTGATCATACCTGAAAACTAAGACGTCTCTAAGAAAACTAATGTATAATGAATACTAATATAATTAGATCAGATTCTTAATTGCCCTTATCATTTCCTAACATTTCTCTTTCTTCTTAATTTCCCTATCATTAAACTAACATACTTTGATGAGATCTCTGTTCTCATCCTATTACTAAGTTATATATTATTCAGGTATAATCCTGGTATGGGGGATAGAAGTGACCATCGATCACAGTGTCTACATCTATACTGTTGGTTTAAAAAATCTCCAGATTGCTTTTGCCAGTTTAGCTTTTCTATCCCCCTTTCTTTGTGTTATCAGCTTTCTGTTATCATTGGCTCTGCCTACAAATACTGTATTGGAAAAAGAATGAGGTGAAAATGGGTGTGGTTAGTACTTGAGTTAGTGTGATTATCATTATTATTATTATTTTGAGACAGGGTCTTGCTCTGCTTCCCAAGCTAGAGAGCAGTGGAGCAGTGATGGCTCACTGCCTTCGAACTCCTGACCTCAAGCCATCCTCCAGCCTCGGCCTCCCCAAGTGCTGTGATTACAGGCATGAGCCCCCATGCCTGGCTAGTAGTCAGTTATTGTCATAACTACTCTTACTGCCTCAGATGATATTAAATTTCTGAGAACATCACTCTGGTACACAGAGTAATTAGGAACAACGCAAATAATAAAAATGAGTCATAATGAAGTGATTAACAGCATGGACGCTGGAGACTACCTACTAGCTATGTGATTTGGATGACTATTTAATCTTTCTATGCCTTAGTTTTCTCATCTGATATATTGGGATCATAATAGTTCCTATCTCAGAGATACTGTTAGGAAAATTGAAATAGTACATACAATGCTTTAGGAACAATGCCTGGTGCATAATAAGCACTAAATAAATGTTAGCTATTATTGCTATTAATAAGATACAATTTAACACTAATTAATGCACCAAATGTAATAGTTCTATATTGTGTCTTTCATAGGATGACATGTTTAACCTTTGTTGAGCTTCTTCAGTCCCTGGAGAGCAGCATCAAGCAAGGTTTCTTATCGTTTTGCTCAGTAACTGGCTTTTTAAAAAGTGTTAAGGTGCTTTCGATTTTGGTGGCATATTTTTTAAATTACTGTAATACAGGGAGTTTGTAACTACATGCCTATGATTCCAAGAGTTCTATGAAACTTCGTGAATTTTTTAAAAATGTGTATTTATGAGTAATTTTTCTTGGAGAGTGGAGAGGAGAGAAGAAGGAACATTCCCAAAGGATCAGTGACCCCAAAAGAAGGCCTGTGATACTTTAAGCCTGAAAAACCCATTCAAGTTTGAAAGTCTAATTAGAATAAACAGATCTTTGGCATGAAAAAATTCCATAAAACCTGTCAGTGAAACTCTATAAAAAAATGAAGTTCCCTTTCTCTTCATTCCTTTGTTATGTGTTACAAGCTATTTGTGGCATTATTTCATCATGAAGGTCACATAATACTAGCAGTACTCTGTTTACGTGGTGATAATTCACATTCAAAGCAGGCACCAAACTCACCAATGCCGTTTCTACTAAATGTTGCTTCAAGAAGAATTTAAGCAAAACTTGCCATTTTCCAAGGATCATTTAAAATGGAAATTATTTGCTTTGCTGCCATCTAGTGGTTAATAAGTTTTCTCAAGGTAACCATAAGTACATTAAAATAGAAGATTCGTTGTAAATATTTGACCATTTTGTCTTTTACATAAAAAATCTGAGTCTTAGTAATTTAGGAGGAATGTAGGAATAATTATTAAATGGTCTCAATCATGGTATTTTTAAAGTAATATGATTTTGTCTTCCATTTTAGTACTCTCAATTTCTCAAGCCTCCTAATTACTCAGCTTGCATCGTTTCTTAGATCCCCCTGATCATTTCTCCACACTGAAGTTATGGCAGTCTCTTTAAAAAGCAAATCTTATTATGCCCCCTCTCAGCTTGAACCCTTTTAGTTGAAATTGCTCTTGCTTATGAAGACCAAACTCCAAATAGATCTACAGGGTCGTGCAAAATCTTTCTCCCATCTACCATTTCTTCCACATGTAGCATTACATTTTTTGTCTTCCTTTACTCTATTCATGATGGTCTTCCTTTCAGTCTTTCTAACCACATGCCTTCATACCTCCCTTGCAGTTGCTTTTCCCTCTGCCTAGAATCTGCTTACTCTTAACATAGTAATTCCTACTCATTCTAAGCTATTGTCACTGCACTAAGGAAGCCTCCCTGAGTCGGACACTTTTCCATGTTATAGGCTGTCATAGCAGCATGTACCTTAATAATAGCTCTTATGTGATTTGCATTTTTATACTTGTTGATCTGATTATTTCATTGATGATATCTTCCCCCATGAGACTACATGCTCATGGAGGATGGGAAACACATCTTCTCTTTTTCATTGTTGTGTCTTTGGCATTCAATAAAAATGATTTGGTTTTGGATGAATTTATATGAATGTCAGAAAATAAGCTAACGGTTTTGAATTACAGATATATTGCAGTGAGGGCTTACCTTAGTCATTATAATGGGGAAAAATCTATAGTTAGCAAAATAAAATATGGGACACAAGTTGCATTGGCTTCATATATTCTTCTTTTTTTTTTTTCTGAGACAGAGTCTCACTATATTGCCCAGGCTAGAGTGCAGTGGTGTGATCTCAGCTCTCTGCAACCTCCGCCTCCTGGGTTGAAGTGATTCTCCTGCCTCAGCCTCCCAGGTAGCTGAGATTACAAGCACCCGCCACCAAACCGGCTTGTACTTTTAGGAGAGATGGGGTTTCTTCATGTTGGCCAGGCTAGTCTCGAACTCCTGACCTCAAGCACTCCGCCTGCCTTGGCCTCCCAAAGTGCTGGGATTACAGGCATGAGCCACCATGCCTGGCCAAACCATATATTCTTGAAGTGCAAATATATGCTTCCAAGTTAAGAGAAACATTTTAGTCTCTAAATAGGTAGGCATTCGGCAGGGCGTGGTCGCTCACATCTGTAATCCCAGCATGTTGGGAAGCCGAGGCAGGTGGATCACCTGAGGTCAGGAGTTCGAGACCAGCCTGGCCAACATGGTGAAACCCCATCTCTAATAATAATGCAAAAATTAGCTAGACGTGGTGGCGCATGCCTGTAATCCCAGCTACTCGGGAGGCTGAGGCAGGAGAATCGGTTGAACCCAGGAGGCAGAGGTTGCAGTGAGCCGAGATCACGCCATTGCACTCCGTTTCAAAAAAAAAAAAAAAAAAGGTAGGCATTCACATTTTTACATAACGTTAATTTTCTTTGCTTAGTACACTATATTTTTCCACGATGAAAAGGACCGAAGTATGGGTATCTGCCGATGCAAATTCTAGCCTTTGCTTTGTTACCAGCTGTGTGGATTTGGGCAGGACCTTTGTATGGGTCAAGAGGGCTGTACAGGATAATCATGCAATCCTTATCCAACATGTATGTCCTTTACCTTTGATCACAATCATGTATAAGCTCAAAACCAGTAAGTTCCAAACCAGAGATACGTTCTTTAGCCAGTTTACTATTGTTGGAAAAAAAATTATTCCTCATATTGTTGATGTAATTTTTAATGGGAATTCGTGGTTTTTGTTTTCATTAGGATTTTCCCTGGACATTATTCACATTAATGAACAAGTATAGATGTGGATTAAAAGAATCCCTAACAAAAGAAGTTTTGATTTAATAAAATTTTTATTTTATTGAGATAAAAATACTATACCCACATACCATAAAATTCACCATCTTAAAGTTTACAATTCAGTTGTTTTCAGTATATTTACAAGGTTCTGCAACCATTACCACTATGTAATTCTAGAACTTTTTTTTCTTTCTTTCTTTTTTTTCTTTTTTCTTTTTTTCTTTTTTCCAGATGGAGTCTCGCTCTGCCACCCAGGCTGGAGTGCAGCGGTGCAATCTTGGCTCACTGCAACCACCGCCTCCCAGCTTCAAGCGATTCTCCTGCCTCAGCCTCCCAAGTGGCTGGGACCACAGGCGCATGCCACCACGCCTGGCTAATTTTTATATTTTTAGTAGAGATAGAATTTCACCATATTGGTCAGGCTGGTCTCAAACTCCTGACTTCAGGTGATCCACCCGCCACTACCTCCCAAAGTCCTGGGCTTACAGGCGTGAACCACCGCGTCCAGCCTAGTTCTAGAACATTGTTATCACCCCTAAAAGAAACTTGGTACCCTTTAGCAGTCACTGTCTATTTCTTCCTCCTTCTAATCTCTCTCGATTTATTTATTTTTTTAATTGAAGTTTCCTTTTTTTCCTTGCAGAATCCAAGAAAACAGGGGCCCGAAACCCAAGGCAGTACAGCAGAATTAATTACAGGGCTCGTCCAACTGGTCCCTCAGTCACACATGCCAGAGATTGCTCAGGAAGCAATGGAGGTAAGGGGAAAATGAATTCCATGTTCTTGAAGGAAAGATTGTAACTATGTACATTCATGATGTTCCTTTGGTGTGTGGTTTCTGTGAGTAACAGGTAGATGTCATTTCTGGAAATGGTATGTTTATGTCTATACATTGTTTTATAAAACTCCATGGAGAAAGAAGGGGTTTACTTGCTTTGTATCACATAGCAATAACATTGTACAAATTCTGATGCTTAATAAAATAGTTCGAGATTTTCTAATTGCAGTTGACTTTAAAATTTTTAAAAATATTATTATTAAATATTAAAAATACTAATTTTTAAATTGAGACATAATTCACATACCCTCAATTTGGCCATTTTAAGTAGTTCTTTTTTTTAAATTTTATTATTATTGTACTTTTAAGTTTTAGGTTACATGCGCACAATGTGCAGGTTTGTTACATATGTATACATGTGCCATGTTGGTGTGCTGCACCCATTAACTTGTCATTTAGCATTAGGTATATCTCCTAATGGTATCCCTCCCCCCTCCCCCCTAAGTAGTTCTTATTCACACAGTTGTGCAACTATAGCTACTCTCTAATCCATAACATTTTTATCACCCCAGAAAGAAACTTGACTCCCCATTCCCTCATCCCTACCAACTACTAATCTATTTTCTGTCTCTATGGATTTGCTTGTTTTAGATATTTCATATAAATAGAATCATAGAATATGTGGCCTTTTATGTCTGGCTACCTTGACTTAATGCTTTCAAGGTTCATTTATGTTGTGGTATGAATCACTATTTTCTTCCTTTTTATTGCCAAATATTTCATTGTATGGATCTGTTTTGTTCATCTAGTTATCAGTTGGTGGACGTTTGGTGTTGTTTCTACTTTTTAGCTATTACAAATAATGCTGCTATGAACATTTGTGTAAAAGTCTATATGTGGACATATCTCTTAAGTATATAGGAGTGGAACTGCTAAGTCGTGTGGTAACTCTGTCGAACTTTTGAGGAACTGTCAAACTCTTTTTCTGAAGCAGCTGTATCATTTTATATTCCCAGTAACAACATATGAAGGTTTTAATAGTTCTGTATGCTTGCTAACACTTCTTATAATGTGTCTTTTTGATTGTAGCCATCCTAATGTACATACTGTACAAATGTTTATACATACCCAGTAAAAATGTTTATAAAAATATTTTAGCACTTACTACGTAATCATTGCTTCCATTTGTGTACATTGCTATTGGTCCCGTAAATTGATACATTTCTTGTAGTCTTTTTGGAAGGCTATTTGGCAGGAGCTATACAAACATTTCATTTTTTTATGCAAATAATTCAATTTCTATCACTTTAAAAATCTTATGAATATAACTCAAAAGGAAAAAGCTGCACACATAGGTACTTATTGCTCTTAATTATAATAGAATATTAAGAGAGCTTTATTTACTGGGAGGAGAATGGGTTAATATTCAATAGTGAGAATGCTATTTTAACTTGGTGAGCTGTTAAACATTTATTAAAACTTATATAGATCACACAGCAATATGGAAAAATATGAAATGTCAAGTGAGTATACTGCATTTATGGCTTTGTTAAAACATGGAAAATACAAAAAAAAGAAGGCAATATGAAAAGAAAATTAAAGCCTGGAAAAGGCTAACACATTTTCTTTCAATATGTATTTTTAAAGTTTTATCAAACAAAAATATAGAGAATTTGTCACTTAAAAAAACTAGTGCCAGTAAATTGTACCACGTTTTTGTACAATAGTAGCAAAATTGAATTTTAATTTGTGTTGTTTTTCCTTGATATGAGAGCTATAAATTATATAGCTTTTTAAGATTCTCAACAATTAATTGCAATTTTCATTAAATATCTCAAAGTAATTACAATAAAAATGTTTGAAATAAGATAATATGGGTCTGGCCTTTAAATGTTGATATGTTGACCAAGGACTGAAAGAAATGTCCAGAGCTTCACAGTTTCTGCTGGGTTGGGGGTGGAGGGATGGTGGGAGGAATGTGAATTGGGATTGTAGAATTGGAGTTGAGATAAGATCAGTTCGAAGGAAGAGTTTGTGTTTTTTTTATATCTTTGATGGTTTTAATTTATATAATAATCTATTTATATGTTATATATTGTAAATGAATTATTTAATTCCCGTTAGTGTTCTCTGAGCCAGATTCCAACTTCAGTTCTGTGGTCAATTGAAATACTTTAGAATGGATAATCTGCTATGAAATACTGAATCCATTTTGCTTCCTCTCTCTTGATTTTGAAAAATAATTGCTCTTTTCTGTTACAAGAGACTTTGTGGCAAGTGAGACAGTTTAAGTAAAAACTTAAAAGATAAGTAAATCTTTTGCTGTGTGTATTAATTTTGGCAAGCCTTCTTACTTGGGGATTAGCTTTTTGTTTCATAGAGTTCTTTAATATCTATTGAAATTATTTTGTTTGTTTCTTAAAGCAGTTTTTACAGTTATATATTGTTCCGAATTCATCATTTAGCTTTATATGTACATGCCAGTTAGAGTCAGAATGATGGGAATAAAATGATTTCATTCTGTCTGTATTATTCCCTAGAGGTTTGTGTTCACCAGAGTTTCTCTCTTTTTACCTTTTACTATATATTGAAACTACAAATGAAAGAGCTCAATTTCTTAGCATTTATAAAATAAGTACTCCAGTGTTATGTTTACCAAAAATGTTTGAGTGAGTCTTCTCTTTGTCTTTCTCTTTTTTAAAAAATTCAGGCTCTGCTGGTTCTTCATCAGTTAGATAGCATTGATTTGTGGAATCCTGATGCTCCTGTAGAAACATTTTGGGAGATTAGGTATATGTACTTTTATTTTTTAAATTCAACTTTTAAATTTTATTTTGTATTTTTGTCTTGAAATATTAACTCTGTAGTACTTAGTACATTGTAAAACTTACACTTCCAAAGGTTTTATGGTTTTGTATTTTATTTGACTTCAAATTATTAGAATTTCTTGTTTTAACTGTAAGAAAAGTATCACAGCAATTTAGAAAATAAATTTTAAGAATAGTGCTAAATTTTGTCACCCTAACATAAGTACTGTTGTTTGGTATATTACTTTTTTCAGATTTCAATGTGGTTACTACTGTATTTTTAATAGATTTTCATAGTTATAAGCCTAGAATGATAAAATTTTGTAACAATACTGTTTTTTCAGTTTTTTGAACTATGATCTTTCATAAACTTTCTGTAATACCAATGCTTTCGATGAATGAATTAATAATGGACACCTGCTTAGAAGAAAAAAATGTATGCAGAATTTTGTGGTCTGCTTCCTAGATTATACAAATCATTACATTTTAATGAGCATGAAGTCACCACACGGAGGAAAATGTAAATGTGTAAACCTCAAGTTTGCCATTATCTTATAAGAATGGGTGTGCTAAGTTACTTGGCAGCTGAATTAAACCTTACTCTAGAGTAGTGCTGTCCACTAGTAATATAATGAGAACCCCATATGTTAAAAACTTTTTTACTTACTACATTAAAGAGTAAAAAGAAGCAGGTAAAATTAATTGTAATTATGTTTTGTTTAACCCGGTGTATATTATCTATAATTTCAACATGTAATCAATATAAAAGTTATTAATGACATTTCATTCTCTTTTTTTTAATAAAGTCTTCAAACTTTGGTGTGTCTTTTATACTTACAGCACATCTCAATTTGAACAAGCCACACTTAAAGTGCTCAATAGCCACGTGTGGCTGGCTAGTGGCTACCATGTTAGACAGTGCAGCTCTGGAGTAGGGATCAGGAAACTTTTCTCTAAAAGGCCAGATAGTAAATATTTTAGGGCTTGTGGGTCATATAGTTTCTGTCATAACCATTCAGTTCTGCCTTTGGAGCATGAAAGTGGCCACAGACATGTGAATGAACGGGCATGGCTGTGTTTAACTAAAACTGTATATTTACAATAGCAAGTGATAGGCTAGGTTTGGCCTGTGGATGGTAGCTTGCAGACCCCCACTGTGGAGCACTGGGTTTATAGGCAGTCTCTGCTGTGCATGTGGTTTATTGTTTCTTCTTATGTCTACTACAAGGATGAGATACATGGATAGAAACACTGGGAGTTTAATGAAACATAGGGGGCTTATAGATAAATACTTGCTTTTTTTCTATAACCTGTAGACTTATTTCCTTTGATTATAATGCTATTGACACTTTGATAACTGTTTCTCTAAAACCTTACAAGAAAAACTAAGCTTCTCTAAACTTGTATTCATTATGGGAGAATGCCATTCTTATGTCTGGTTATATCTGCATTAGGTTATTGATGATGCTAGTAACAATGAACTTTATGTTACTGCAGCTCACAAATGCTTTTTTACATCTGCAAGAAATTAACTAGTCATCAAATGCTTAGTAGCACAGAAATTCTCAAGTGGTTGCGGGAAATATTGATCTGCAGGAATAAATTTCTTCTTAAAAATAAGGTAAGCAAAATGACATATTTAAAAAATGGAAGAATATTTGGAATGGTAATGGTGAGAGATTACTAAAGTGTTTTATAGCCAAATTAGGTTCTATTTCAGCTTCTCCTTCCTCCCAATGTTCTCAAAAGGAAATATGTATGCAGAGGACAATGACTGGCAAATCAGCATTTTAAAAATTATTCTGAGGCTTTGGCCTTAGAACCACACTGTTGATGAATTCTAGTTCTAGTTGAGTTAAATAGGTCTCTATGGGGCAGGCCTAGGAAAAGTGGGGGCTGCTATAACCAGAGTAGCTTGAGGAGCATATTGTATCTTTACTCTTAAGTTCATACATAAGACATAATTCATACATAAAATTTATTTTAACATATAGCTTCTGTAATTTAAGAATTCTATTATGGCGTAGATTTGGGAGTACTTGATTTAATGGGTTTTTGTCCAGTTCTAGAATCATAGCTCTGAGAAATCGTAAAGACCTAGATCTCATGGCTAGACTAGTCCAGAGAATTATCTATCAAGAAGCAAAAGGGAAACAGTTGAGGGTCCTCAATCTAGATTTATTTCGATTCCTCCAATAAGGGTTTCACCTCTTGAAAATATCAGGAGACTTTTTCATTGGGGTGGAGTGAAATGTTTTGATTCTGAACTATTGAAACATGGTGAGGTTGTGGAAGATAGAGAAGAGCCTTAAATTTCTTTTAACATATAGTTTCTGTAATTAATCAATTTAGGAATTCTGTTATGGCCTAGTTTTCGGAGTACTTGATTTAATGAGTTTTTATCTGGTACTAGAAGCATAGCTGTGAAAGACCTTAAATGTATGAAACTCATATCCTTTTCAGTATTTACAGCTTGTTATTAATAAATTGTCTCTTTAGAAATAGACTAATGGTGAAGTGGGTTTATTCACATGTGACTTATTTGATATGTTAATGTAGTGGAATTTGGCATTATTCCAAAGATACAGAAAGAGATTAGACTTCAGACTTTCATGGCCTCGCCTATGGTATAATCTCCAGAATGTGAGTATGAGGAATCCAGTAATGAATTCATAGTGCCCTGGTAGGCATAGTCACTCTTGTGACATACTTGGTGTATATACATACCAGAGTTAATTACTGGTCCAGAAGAACTTAATCTCAAGAGCCAATTTCTGGTTATCCCAACATGGCACAGTATAAAATCTTATGGAAAAAAAATCTTTGTCATTGAGATCAAATTATAGTTTTCATACAGTAGATTTATATTGTTGATGTTTTACTCATGTTTATGTCAGACTTAATTTATATTTGTAGAATCTACTGTTTCTGATGATTTAGAGAATGGGAAACTGAAAGAAATTTTAAAGAATTAAGTAAACCTTGTTTGTTCTAATGGGTTTCTAGTGAATCTCCTTCAAGTTGGGGCATAGAGATTGAGAGGAGAGGTTTTTTAGGAGAGTCTCAAACAGGAAGACAACTCAAATAAGTGTTTATTCCTCTTGGTTGTCAGTGCTTCAGTAAAGCTTATTTATTTATTTTTTTCTAGCAGGCAGATAGAAGTTCCTGTCACTTTCTCCTTTTTTACGGGGTAGGATGTGATATTCCTTCTAGTGGAAATACCAGTCAAATGTCCATGGATCATGAAGAATTACTACGTACTCCTGGAGCCTCTCTCCGGAAGGGAAAAGGGAACTCCTCTATGGTCAGCTTCTTCTGTACTTTTTCTGTATCATTTTATGTGCTCTGTTTGTTTTCTGAATGAAATTTGGTAAATTTCATCTAGGTAATATAGTGTAATAGTGAAAAACTGCTTAGAATCTAGTTCTATTACTGCTCTTTGTGGAACTTTGGGCAAGTTCTTAACATCCTTGTTCCTCAGTTCCTCAACTTTAAAATGGGGACAGTAATAGTTCCTGCCCCAGAGTTGTTAAAGAGGGTTAAATAAAAGGATGTGTAAATAGCACTTGACACTTACAAGCTATATCTGATAATTATAATTATTATAAACCTCCACTCCATAAAAAACCCATTCATACCACAGAAGTATAGAATTCGTACCGGCTAACAAAGGTACAGATTTACAGGGATAAAAACAAAGTATTTTGCTTCATGTTAAAGATAAGTGTTTCTGTGATTTGTGTTTGTGTGTATAATTTCTTTTAAATATAAATCATATTTCAAGTGAAAATATCACATCATTACAGAAGAGTTTATTTTCCAAACCAAAACTTTTTTCATTCCTAATTTTTAATGCAACCTTGTTAAGGAAGAAACACCTAAGCAGTATGATATTTACTAATGTCTGTTTTACTTGTAGAATTTGCATTTATTTTATCAATTATTTTCTCCATTTCGTGTTTGGAGAATAAGTAATTCAGAATCAAATGTATCTTCTACAGCAATATTTAGTTCTTGTTTATGCCCTTGTTTCAATGAGTGCTGCAGTGTACTTATTTTATTACTTCCCTATAGCAAGTAGATAGAATTTCCTGTTACTTCCTCTTTTTTTGTCATTTCTAATTGACTGGGAGGTACATTATATTGTTACTGCAGTAGATTTACGTTATGGTGTTTACCTGTCCATGTTAGAATCAGTTTACATTTCTGGAATCTGGAATAGGATAATATCTATTTGATTTGAAATTGAACAGATGGTAGCATTATGTTGGTCCAGATAATCTCATTTCTCATTTGGACAAGATATTTTGGGGTTTGAAAAATTCCTATAATGATTAAAGGAAAAAGCTCTTGTGAGTTATTGTATGCGGAGACACACACACACACACACACACACACACACACACACACACAGTTTATTGCATTGTTAGATTTTATACATAAAATTACCCAAGTTGCAAATATATGTCTTCCACCCTTGACTCTCAGGATAGTGCAGCAGGATGCAGCGGAACCCCCCCGATTTGCCGACAAGCCCAGACCAAACTAGAAGTGGCCCTGTACATGTTTCTGTGGAACCCTGACACTGAAGCTGTTCTGGTTGCCATGTCCTGTTTCCGCCACCTCTGTGAGGAAGCAGATATCCGGTGTGGGGTGGATGAAGTGTCAGTGCATAACCTCTTGCCCAACTATAACACATTCATGGAGTTTGCCTCTGTCAGCAATATGATGTCAACAGGTAAATGTGAATAGTGGTTTTTTTTACTCAGTCTGCCTCAAAGCACATGGCATCTGATTTTGAGAATGTATTTAAGGTCACTACTTTGTAAGTTTACAGGGGAAATTCAAGTAGCTTACTTGAAATCCTTTTCTGAACAAAGTAAGATGAAAATAAAAAGCATTTGAAATAAATTGTTAGTCTTCCACTGAGTTGTTAATATGCTATACATTTTAAAAATAACTGGCAGTAGATGTTACTATCAGTTATGATTATGTAATTTACTCTGCCTAAGTTGTAGATAGTGAAGTTTTACAAACATTGGCGTATGTTTTGAGTAAATTGTAGGTGGGAATAGCTATTTTATTCTGTGGACATTGTAGAGTCCAAGATAAGTACCTTTCCTGTGAGGTTAGTGAAAGGAAGTTTTTGGCTTTATCATTTGAAGCATTTGCTCTGCTCTTCCTACTCCTTTTGGGTGGAGCTTATCAGGTTCTCCATTGGCAGGCAGGGCTCTAAGTGCAGTAACTTGATTTGCTGTTGTATTTGCTTAGGAAGAGCAGCACTTCAGAAAAGAGTGATGGCACTGCTGAGGCGCATTGAGCATCCCACTGCAGGAAACACTGAGGTATGCCCTTAGCAACAGAAACACCCCTCCCAGGCGCCCACCCTCAATTTGGAAGCCTCTTGTTACATATGTGTGATCAGGAATAGCTTTTGAAGTAAATCCAAGATACGTGCATATTACAAGTATAATATCTGAGTATTTAATATACATCAAGTTTGAAACTTGGCTGTAGCTGATTGATGTTTAGCTCTAGACTAAGTTGCTTTCAAGTGATAATTGCCTTCATTTTAGGCTTGGGAAGATACACATGCAAAATGGGAACAAGCAACAAAGCTAATCCTTAACTATCCAAAAGCCAAAATGGAAGATGGCCAGGTAAGTCTGTAAAGTTGACTTTTGTCTGTTAACTGATCTGCTAAATATATGTACTTCACTTTGATAATCTTTCAAGAGTCGCTCAGTAAAGTAAACATATAGCTGTGTGAAGACTGATATTTAGTTGTGGTTTATCTAGACCTGTACTTTGTAATGTGGTAGCTACTAGCTATGTGTGACTATTTAACTTAAATTTTAACATAATTAAAATTAAATAAAATTTAGTTCCTCAATCATATAGTAACCACATCGCAAGTACCAGTAGCCACATATGACAATTACTTACTCTATTGGACAGCAGAGAGAGAAAATGTTCCTGTCATCACAGAAATACTGGGCAGCACTGCTAGAGACTGTTTGTTGCAGAGACCATTTCTTTACCTTTTCTTGCTCTTTCTCCCTTCATCAGGGTGTTTCACAGAATTTTCAGAAAAGGAGCAACAGAGGTAGAGATAAATTAACATGGAAACAATTCATTTTGCTATTTTGTTAGGTATTCTAATTAAGGAATGTCTTAGGCAGTAGATTGATCCCATAGAGTAAATGAAATTTTAAAATGTGGACAGTTCATTCAACTATTACTATTGACTATATTATCTGTTACTTTGGAAATTAATGATCAGTTAGTGTTTGTGTGTATTTGATTTGTAATGTTCATATTGCTCTCATTATTAGGTGATTTATAAAAACTGGTTGTTCCTCCATGGTGTTTTTGTCATGCTTAATTACAATAGGAAAAAGTTATATTTTTACGAAGCAAATGTGTGTACCTAATACCTTTATTTGGAGGGGACATGTAGCTTTAGAATGAAAGCTTTTGGGGGGATAACTGTTTTATATAATTACATACCATACAGTTCACCCATTTAAAGTGTCCAATTCAGTGACTGTTTTTAATGTATTCACAGAGTTGTGCAACCATCACCACAATCAAGTTTTAGAACAATTTCATCAATTGAGAAAAAAACCCCGTACCCTTTAGCTATCTCTGCCTCTAACCACCCCCCACCCACTTTCTTGCCTCTCTTCCCCCAACGTCTCTAGCCCTAGGCAACCATGAATCTACTTTCTGTCTTTGTAGATTTGCCTATTCCGGATATATTCTGTAAATGGAATTATAGAATATGTGGGCTTTTGTGATTAGCTTCTTTCACTTAGCATGATGTTTCCAAGGTTCATCCATGTGAAATCAAAACTTTTTAAAAGAAATTTGACACTCGGCTGATTATATTAGTGTATGATAAAAATAGATCAGTGGCTCTTTAAAAATGTATATGGTAATTTTATGGGTTGATTTTAATGTATATTTTACATTTTTTGTACTTTTGTCATGGAAGAAATGTTGGATAAAGCATAATTTGTCAAGTCTCAACTAATTAAGGTTTAATTCATGCTTTGCACAAAAATTTTGTGTTTAGGCTGCTGAAAGCCTTCACAAGACCATTGTTAAGAGGCGAATGTCCCATGTGAGTGGAGGAGGATCCATAGATTTGTCTGACACAGACTCCCTACAGGAATGGATCAACATGACTGGCTTCCTTTGTGCCCTTGGGGGAGTGTGCCTCCAGCAGAGAAGCAATTCTGGCCTGGCAACCTATAGCCCACCCATGGGTCCAGTCAGTGAACGTAAGGGTTCTATGATTTCAGTGATGTCTTCAGAGGGAAACGCAGATACACCTGTCAGCAAATTTATGGATCGGCTGTTGTCCTTAATGGTGTGTAACCATGAGAAAGTGGGACTTCAAATACGGACCAATGTTAAGGATCTGGTGGGTCTAGAATTGAGTCCTGCTCTGTATCCAATGCTATTTAACAAATTGAAGAATACCATCAGCAAGTTTTTTGACTCCCAAGGACAGGTAAAGTGTTCTCTTATTTTTCACCTTTCTCTATGAATAGAGTGACTTGTTTGAAATAAGCCTTTTTCTTTCAGATTATTTAAATTAGGTACTCACAGTTTTTAAAAATTTCCAAAAAATTGCAGAAAGAAGAGTCATCTCAATGTAGGGGTCAGCTTGCCTCTTAGGAACTCTGGTGTGTATGTGTGCCTAAGGGTATACGTGCCCTGTGTATGGGTACGAGTGTCTGCGTATATCTGTATGCTTATTTGGCTCTATGCCTGTGGGTGCACTTACTCTGTGTGTTTAGATCAGTCAGTTTCATCTCTCTAGGGGGTCTGTCTTCTGGGCATTGATGGCAAATCATTAATGTATTTGTTCTTTCTTTAGGTTTTATTGACTGATACCAATACTCAATTTGTAGAACAAACCATAGCTATAATGAAGAACTTGCTAGATAATCATACTGAAGGCAGCTCTGAACATCTAGGGCAAGCTAGCATTGAAACAATGATGTTAAATCTGGTCAGGTAAGCATTCTACTGAAATGTAGCAGAAACATTTTAAGAGATAAGAAAAACCTCTTACACACTGATACTGGTAGTAATTGATAAAATAACTGGCCATTCTTTACTGCACACAAACTAGGGTGTGACAGTAAGGTAGCCAGAAGTTGTGTACGTTCTTTTCTAAATAAATATCTTATTGTTTTCAAACTTACATTTAATTCGTTTTACTTGATGACTAAAGTATTTAGAATGCCTTCTCTTTTGTCTATATCTGATAATTTTTTTATTGTTTCTATGTCTATATAGGTATGTTCGTGTGCTTGGGAATATGGTCCATGCAATTCAAATAAAAACGAAACTGTGTCAATTAGTTGAAGTAATGATGGCAAGGAGAGATGACCTCTCATTTTGCCAAGAGATGAAATTTAGGTGAGTTCTCAAAAGAGCAATGTAGGGTCTTGTAAATCTTAATATGTCCAATGAAGTACAGAAAAAGAGTAGATATGCGGTTATTGGTAGAAAGGAGGACATGAAAAGAGAGCAATTTACATGTTTGTTTTTCTCTACATCTCTTCTCAAATTTCCCTAAGCTTTGTGCCTGTGACAATGCTCCCTTTTTCTAAAACTGTGCTATACTTGAGCTAAGAATTTGATTCTATTTCCAATCTGATACCATAACTAAGGGCCATGATGGAGGATAAATATCCATGTTGCTTGTTCCCTTCTGGCTTTTATGTCTGTGATAGCAGTATCTCTTTTATAAAGTCGTCATGTCACTTAGGTTATCTGGCAAATTATTTGCACTATAAGAAATCTTACGTGACTAAAGGTGTGTGTGTGGCTTCAAAAACATTGTTTGCTGTTTCTCTTTTCTCCACCATTCTATAGGAATAAGATGGTAGAATACCTGACAGACTGGGTTATGGGAACATCAAACCAAGCAGCAGATGATGATGTAAAATGTCTTACAAGGTAAAAAAAGAATGACCTTCAAGTATTAGTGGGTTTTACTGTGAGAGTTATAACTACTTAATTACAGCTTTATACTTGTATTTTGTGTGTATTTAAACTTTTGAGATGTCAAACTTTTGTGTTTGAAATATGTAAAGATGCTAATCTTTATTACTGCTTTTTTTTGACTGATAGACTTTCAGTAAAATTAAATGTGAAAGAGTGATATGTTTGGGAAGTTAGTGTTGTCAGTTTATGAAGAATAGTCTACAGTTATTGGGAAATAAGATACATAAAGCCTCAGATTGCATTTGTGTTATGATTAGATAGATAAAGGTATTATTTGAGGAACTCATTGTGTTGAATCTTTTTAAGAAATAATTGATTTCCTGATTCAAGCACCAGAGACAGAAAAAAAAGGAAGTAATCAAGTCTGCTTTAATGATACTTATTGACACATATCAGAAAATGATTAAACACTATGGACTGTATAATAAGCATTCACATATGTTTCTTTGACCAAGCCTAGCTTTATAATACAGTCTTCTCTGTCAGGGATTGGTTCCAAGAACCACTCCCCAAACCCCTGCCCACATCTTACTCCCATGAACACTAAAATCCACAGATGCTCAAGTCCCTGACTTAAGATGTCATAGTATTTGCATATAAACTATACACATCCTCCCATATATTTTTAATTATCTTCAGATTACTTATAATATCTAATACAATATAAATGTTGTATAAATATTTGTTATACCATATTGTTTAGGGAATAACAACAACAAAAAATCTGTACATGTTGAGTACAGATGAAACCCTCCTTTTTTTTCCCCCAAATATTTTCAATCCATGGGTGGTTGAATCCATGGATATAGAACTCACTGATACAGAGGGCCCATTGTACATGCTTCTGATTTAAGGTAGCCATTTTGCCAAGATTACTTTGTAGAAAGTAAGTATTACCTTCTCCCCATTTGAGATGATTTTGTATTCTGGGATCTGCATATTAACTCAAATTATTTGGGTTGTGCTAATAATTTGTTTAATGAAATAGGTAGTTCCTAAGGTTTATATCTGTTAGTAAGAGGTTTATTTGAGGGGAAGTGAAAGAACTTGAAAGATTCATGGTCTCTAAATTTTTTTTTTTTTTTTTTTTTTTTTTCAGAGATTTGGACCAGGCAAGCATGGAAGCAGTAGTTTCACTTCTAGCTGGTCTCCCTCTGCAGCCTGAAGAAGGAGATGGTGTGGAATTGATGGAAGCCAAATCACAGTTATTTCTTAAGTAAATTTCAGTCACCAAAAAACATAAAGCAAAAAGCAAATAAAGCCCCCCACCACACAAAAAAAGCAAAGAAATAATACCCATGACAGGACTAGGATAGGAAAATAACTGTGTTTTGTGATTTTTTTAAAGAAAGTAATATGATCAGTGAAATTTTGCTTATAATAAAACCCAGATTGCTTCATTAAGTCATTTACAAAAGTGACATTGTCTAAGCTGTTTGGACCACTAATTTTATATACTAACATTAAAAGTGACACATTTACCAGGTAATATTGCATCTATTTGATGCTAATGTTATGAAAGGTATACTAGGCTATATCAGGTAAAATCATGTCCAACATAGCACACTTCATAATAAGCCACCCTGGCTGATTATCGCGAGAGAGGAGAGAAACAGTTAACCCAGGGCCATTCACACCATGCACATATGATTGTTTTGGAATGTCTGGTTAGCTTTCTAGTTGATACGGCCTTCACTATGTAAAGGTCAGTCTTTTTATTTCTCAGATACTTCACATTATTTATGAACCTTTTGAATGACTGCAGTGAAGTTGAAGATGAAAGTGCGCAAACAGGTGGCAGGAAACGTGGCATGTCTCGGAGGCTGGCATCACTGAGGCACTGTACGGTCCTTGCAATGTCAAACTTACTCAATGCCAACGTAGACAGTGGTCTCATGCACTCCATAGGTGAGATCAAATGAAAGTTTCATATAGAAATACAAAACCTAGAGAACTGGCATGTAAGAGAAGCAAAAATTACTTCAGCAAGGCCATGTTAGTAAATTTGCATCTGTTTGTCCACATTAGGCTTAGGTTACCACAAGGATCTCCAGACAAGAGCTACATTTATGGAAGTTCTGACAAAAATCCTTCAACAAGGCACAGAATTTGACACACTTGCAGAAACAGTATTGGCTGATCGGTTTGAGAGATTGGTGGAACTGGTCACAATGATGGGTGATCAAGGAGAACTCCCTATAGCGATGGCTCTGGCCAATGTGGTTCCTTGTTCTCAGTGGGTAAGTGATTAGAGTAAGCGGGGAAGAAAAGTGCCTGGCACATAGCAAATCCTTCAGAATATATTTGTTCAATAAATGTTTGTTGAATGAATTGATAAAATTTCAGAGCCAGAAGAAAGATGTTTAGTTAGGTGATTTTTCAGCTGTAGGGAAGTGGTTGGCACCACTAGACCTGACTAGTGTTCTGTATCATTTCATCCTACTAAAAAATTCCATTTAAACGCATTAAAAATCACTGATCTACTCTGGTGTCTTCATATATTTGATAAGGTAATTAGGTTAAACCTAATTTTAGTTAGTTGTTGCAATGCTGGAATTGGAATCCACGATTTGTGCCTGTTTACTACCTCCAGTTTGCTATTCTTTTCCCCATAATGTCTCATACAGTTTTTTAAAAATTTAAGCACTATATTTGCATTTGATATTATGATATTGTTTATTTTAAAAACTGAAAGCGTCATATGGCTATGTCTCTCTCTTAATTTAATGAAAAATTTTCCTAAAATCACATCATTCTTAATACATGCTAAAACGTTGAGACGGGTTGTTGTTCCTTTCCAGTGTTAAAAGGCTATTTGCTTTTTAGTGTACCAAAACTGATTTCAGTTATAGTAAATTATGACTAATAAGGTAATCTGTCCTTGTTAACAAGCCTGTATTTGTTATACCTGTACTTAAAGTAAAATTCAAACTCCTTACCCTGTCCTACAAGGCTCTACCTGATCTGGGCCCTACCTCATCTCTAACATCATCTTATGCTATTTTCTTTCTTGTTCACCAGAGCCACACCAGCTACCTTTCTGTCCCTCCTTGTTAGACTTATTTCTGCTTTAGAGCACCCTTGCTGCTGCCACCACCTGAAATGCTTCTCTTCTGGTATTTTATTTTGGTGAGAACACCTGGCATGAGATCTACCCTCTAACAGATTTTTAAGTGTATAATACAGTATTGCTGTCTGTAGGCACAATGCTGCACAGCAGATCTCTAGAACTTACCTTGTATAACTGAAATTTTATACTCATTGATTAGCAACAGCCCCAAATTATTGAAACCTCCTTGAAGCCTAAATTTCAGAAATGTTCAAATGTTTTGAAAATGGATATTCTGAATTATCTTATTAGCATCTACCTATAATTAGCACTGAAAATAGTAATTTTTTAAATAAAGAATCAGTTAAGGGCCGGGTGTGGTCGCTCACGCCTGTAATCCCAGCACTTTGGGAGGCTGAGGCGGGAGGATCACAAGGTCGGGAGATCGAGACCATCCTGGCTAACACCGTGAAACCCTGTCTCTACTAAAAAAATACAAAAAAATCAGCTGGGCGTGGTGGCAGGTGCCAATAGTCCCAGCTACTTGGGAGGCTGAGGCAGGAGAATGGTGTGAACCCAGGAGGGTTGCAGTGAGCCAAGATCTCGCCACTGCACTCCAGCCTGGGCGACAGAGCGAGACTCTGTCTCAAAAAAAAAAAAAAAAAAAAAAAAAAGAATCATTTAGTTCAAGTAGCTTTAATTCGTTGAGTTTTATATTAAATGACTTTGAGAAGGAATTTTCTGTTAGGCCAGATCTCACCTACCACATTATTGTAATCCTTGGATCAGGCAAGAATTAGAGAGCTATGAGCCATGATCCTGGCCTTTGTTGTTACTGCTTGAGGATTGAGGCATCTTTTTATGGCTACCCCTATTATCTATAAATTTCTTCTTATCATGTGATTAAACAGTGATTTACCATTAGATCATTTTTTCTTGAGTGTACCCCAAACTGTTTTACTACAGAGAGTTATAAAGGATGTCATTTAGGTAATAGATAGAAATTTCAGCCCTCATCCTTGTGACCCTAGCTTTGTATGTAAATCTGGCTCATCTCTGGGTTCTGAATGCCCAATTCCTTTTCTTCCTGGTTTCTCAAAAATCCTATAGTCTTTCTGTTTTTGTTGTGTCTCTGCCTAGTATATATTCAGTATTCGCTGAGTTCCCCGACTGTATGAGAAGAGAGTAGAACTCTTCTGATCATCAATCTTATTTCTGCTCTGTGCAAATGCTTGTACAAATCAAACTAAATTCTTTGCTGTCATCTTCTGTTTCTGCTCTCTTTCATTTTGTGATGTAATTTGAGCTGAATCTTGGAGATTTTGTCTCCTAGTAAAGCGTAGGCCTCTCTTAATAGCTTTTACCGGTTAATCCTTGGAATTAACAGCTATCATAGACATTGTATATAGTCATCTATCATAAACAATGTACACTGTTAAATCTCAGGATAAATATTAATCAGTCATCATTTGCCTTAATTTAGCAAGTGGTTGTCAACTTTGGGTTTACATTTTTGCTACTCTTTAGCTTCCTACCTAAGAATAAAAATGGGATTGTTTGCACTAACCTGATTTTGTTTTGTTCTCAGGATGAACTAGCTCGAGTTCTGGTTACTCTGTTTGATTCTCGGCATTTACTCTACCAACTGCTCTGGAACATGTTTTCTAAAGAAGTAGAATTGGCAGACTCCATGCAGACTCTCTTCCGAGGCAACAGCTTGGCCAGTAAAATAATGACATTCTGTTTCAAGGTTTGTATCATTCATTTTGTGTGTATGTGTGTGCTGAGGTATGTCAAGTAATGATTATGTACAGAATGTGCAGGGCTGATTGTCTTCTTTTAAGGTAAAATATATGGAGCAGGTATAATAAACTCCTATTCGTGCATTTCTGTAGGTATATGGTGCTACCTATCTACAAAAACTCCTGGATCCTTTATTACGAATTGTGATCACATCCTCTGATTGGCAACATGTTAGCTTTGAAGTGGATCCTACCAGGTTTGTCATCTTTTCACATAGAACCGCTGTTTTTTGTTTTTTTTTTTTTGTTTGTTTGTTTTACTAACACTGCATGAAGCAAGGCACCTTCTCCCCTTGATCATTAAAATTAGTTTTTAATTATAAAAGTTATATACAAATACACGTTTCTTTAATGATATCTGTAATTTTTTTTTAAGGTATCCTTTTATTTGCCTTAGATCCAGGGACAAACTAGAGAAAGGTGTCTTTGACTTCCACCTCCAGAGACTGTTACTAGTTAAGTCTGTTCCCCTGTCCTTTTTCCATGCATTTACATATTCATATGCAGTCACTTGCATGCATACTCTTTTTCTAACTCACTTCTTCTATGATGAGGAGTGACTTAGGAGAAGGGAAAGAGGCTAATAGGTAATGCAGGCTGCAGTTTATTTATTTGTCATTTTTTTAAAAATTTGAGACAGAGTCTCACTCTGCCATTCAGGCTGGGGTGCACTGGCGCAGTCTCGGCTCACTGCAACCTCTGCCTCCCAGGTTCGTGTGATTCTCCTGCCTCAGCCTCCTGAGTAGCTGGGATTACAGGTGTGCGCCACCACGCCCAGGTAATTTTTTTTTTTTTTTTGTATTTTTAATAGAGATGGTGTTTCACCATCTTGGCCAGGCTGGTCTCAAACTCCTGACCTCAGGTGATCCGCCTGCCCTGGCCTCCAAAAATACTGGGATTACAGGTGTGAGCCACCATGCCCAGCCCAGAGTGCAGTTTAAACCACCATTTCTGTGAAGCTTTCTCTGCTTGTTACCAGGTACTACCCACGAACAAAGAAATATGCTTTGTTCTGTGCTGTGCACCACCATTGTAACAATTGTGACGATTTATGAGTTTCTCTCTCCTCTAGACTGTTTGCTCTTTTACATTTTTACATCTTTATATCCTTCCATGAATATTTAGCATGGTGTCTGCCTTATAGTGAACATTTTATAAATATTTGTTAAGTGAATGAATTTTAACGGAATATCTTATGCTTGCTTTTTCTAAGCCACATGTTAAGATGTTCTTGTCTGTCTTTCAGTTAGGACTTTATTTTTTACTTTTAAGTTCAGAGCTTCTTGATGATTGTTCTTCCTAAATAATCATTATTTAGCAACTGTGTATCAGTTGATATTTTTGGCTCTGCATTTGCTGAAGTATCAACTGTAATATCTATTCAGAACTCCAGCACTAAGCCAATTTTTGTTAAAATAGTTAAAAACTTAAAAGCAATTTTTATATTTTTATTTACTTCTTATTTTTTGAAATGGGGTCTCACTCTGTCACCCAGGCTGGAGTGCGGTGGCACCATCTCGGCTCACTGCAACCTTCCTGTGCAGGACTCAAGCGATTCTCCCATCTCAGCCTCCCAAGTAGCTGGGATTACAGGCATGCACCACCATGCAAAATACAAAATTTTTGTATTTTGGTAGAGACGAGGTTTTGCCTTGTTGCCCAGGCTGGTCTCAAACTCCTAGACTAAAGAGATCCACATGCTGTGGCCTCCCAAAGTGCTGGGATTACAGATGTGAGCCACCACGCCTGGCCAAAGCAATGTTTTGTAAAGCCTTGTATTTTCTTGCCATTAAGCACTTTCAGTTTTTTTCTTGACAACTTCTCATGTCTACTTTTTTTTTTTTTTTTTGCAATTTTCAAGTGTACATAATACATTATTACGGATTTTATGTTAATTTTGTGCCCTACAATTTTACTGAATCTTATTATTAAGCAATTTTACTTTCTAAAGGTTAAAGAATTACTTAGAGAGTGAACCAGCTGCTTCAAATAAGTTTACTATACAAAGTGCTGTGGTCCAGATAAGAGAACTAGATGGCAAACAATATACTCAGGTTGCTTAAAATCAAACTGAGGCCCACTCTGACATGTCAAGAGCTTGAAAGTCAACACTCCTGTGTTCACAACATGAAAAAAGCTAAAAAACTGAAAATCAGCAGCTCTTAGATCCATCAGAGAATTTAAGTCCACTCCAAAAACTGGAGAGACAGGTAAATGTATACAGAGAATCACAGTTTACCAGGAGAAGAAGCTGCTGGAGCCAGTAACTGGTAGGAAAGCTTAGATCATAATTGACGAGTTGCTGGAGGCTGAGCATGGAGTGCCTAGAGAGTTAAAACTCCTAGGGGCCTAGTCTTGCAGGGACCCCTGCACCTTTGTAAGTTTTACCTCCAGAAGCCTCATCAGGCTCTCATGGTGAAGATAGGAGAAAAATCCCTTTATGCTTTGGGCAGGGGAAGGGGAAAAGTAGCCATTTTTAAATATGACCACAGTGTTCTGTTATCCCTAGCAAAGGTTTGCCCTCAGGAGAAATTACTTTACCAGAGCTTTATTTGACTTAGAAGTTAGCCACCTCCAGCCCCCTCTAGCGTTTCTGTAAGAAGAGAGAAAAGGCTAAGAAACTCTTTGAGTCTGGCCTGGTGGCTCACATCTGTAATCCCAGCACTTTGGGAGGCTGAGGTGGGCAGATCACGAAGTCAGGAGATCGAGACCATACTGTCTAACATGGTGAAACCCTGTCTTTACTAAAAATACAAAAAATTAGCTGGGTGTGGTGGCACGTGCCTGTAGTCCCAGCTACCAGGAGGCTGAGGCAGGAGAATCGCTTGAACCCAGGAGGTGGAGGTTGCAGTGAGCTGAGATTTGCACCACTGCACTCCAGCCTGGGCGACAGAGCGAGACTCTGTCTAAAAAAAAAAAAAAAAGAAACTCTTTGAAGGTCACACTTTAAGGAATTTGGCCCAATAAAACAATGGAGATATAATCAGATTGTAGAGTACTTCCCTTCCCCAGTATCCCAGTTAACGGGGAAACCCAGGGACAACAAAAGAGACAGAAATAAGAGCACTAGAGGAAATGGGCGCCTACAGTTACAGCGAACATTAAACATAACCTAACTTCTAGGCAGATTAACAGAATGCCTCACACTAAAGTCCAATTTACCTCAGTTCCTATGACCCAATACATCTTGTCTGGCTTTCAACAAAACATTACAATGCATGCTAACAAAAAATGAAAAATTAGTCTGAGGAGACAAAGCAAGCATCAGAATCAGACTCAGATGTGGCAAGATGTATTGGAACTTTGAAATTGTCAAACTGAGAGTTTAAAATAACTAATATGCTAAGGGCTTTCATGGAAAATGGACAGTGTGTAAGAACAGATGGGTAATGTAAGCAGAGACATGGAAATTAAGAAAGAATCAAAAGAGAAGGCTAGAGAAAAAAGCTGTAACAGGGAGAATTCCTTTAGTGGGCTTATCAGTAGTCTGGGCACCACTGAAGAAAGAATTGGTGAATTTGTAGTTATATCAAGAGAAACTTCCCAAACTGAAATGCAAAGACAAACAGAAGAATAAATGAAAATGAAAATACATCAAAATTTGTGGGGTTTAATAAAAGCAGTTGCTTAGCAGTGTTAAATGTATGTTAGAAAAGAAAATCTAAAATGAATTATCTGAGCTCTCACCTTAGAAAACTAGACAAAGAGCAATACCTAAAGCAAGATGGGGGGAGGAATCAGAAATCAATGAAATTAAAAATAGGAAAAAAATAATGAAACGCAAAGCTAGATCTTTTTATTTTTTAATTTTTATTTTTTTGTGGGTACATAGTAGGTGTTTATATTTATGGGGTACATGAAATATTTTGATACAGACATGGAATGTGTAGTAATCACTTCAGGGTAAATGGGGTGTCCATCACCTCAAGCATTGATCCTTTCTTTTTTCTTTTTTGAGACAGAGTTTCACTCTTGTCGCCCAGGCTGGAATGCAGTGGTGCTATCTTGGCTCACTGCAACCTCCGCCTCCCATGTTCAAGCAATTCTCCTTGCCTCAGCCTCCCGAGTAGCTGGGATTACAGGTGCCCACCACCATGCCTGGCTAATTTTTGTATTTTTAGTAGAGACAGGGTTTCACAATATTGGCCAGGCTAGTCTTGACCTCCTGACTTCAGGCGAGCCGCCTGTCTTGGCCTCCCAAAGTGCTGTGATTACAGGCGTCAGCCACCGTGCCCGGCCTATCGTTTCTTTATGTTACATACAATCCAATTATACTCTTTTAGTGATTTTTAAATGTACAATAAGTTCTTGTTGACTGTAGTCACCTTGTGCTATCAGATAACCAGATCTCATTTATATTCTTTTGTACACATTAACCATCCCCGGTCTCCCCTTCCCCACCCCCCACTACACTTCCCAGCCTCTGGGTAACTATCATTCTACTCTCTATCTCCATGAGTTCAATTGTTTTAATTTTTTTAGCTTCCACAAATAAGAGAGCGCACGATGTTGTATTTCTTTGCCTGGCTTATTTCACTTAACATCATAACCTTCAGTTCCATCCGTGTTGTTGCAAATGACAGGAATCTCATGTTTTGTGTCTGAATAGTACTCCGTTGTGTATATGTACCACAGTTTCTTTATCCATTCTTCTGTGGACAGACACTTAGGTTGCTTCCAAATGTAGGCTATTGTGAATAGTGCTGCAACAAACATGGGAGTGCCGATATGTCTTCAATATACTGATTTCCTTTTGTTTCAGTATATACCTAGTAGTGAGATTTCTGGATCATATAGTAGTTTTATTTTTAGTTTTTTGAGGAACCTCCAAATGGTCCTCCATAGTATTATACTAATTTACATTCCTGCCAATAGTGTATGAGGGTTCCCTTTTCTCACTTTTCTCCTTGTCACCATTTGTTATTGCCCGTCTTTTGGATAAAAGCAACTTTAGGGTGATGTGATATCTCATTGTAGTTTTGATTTGCATTTCTCTGATAATCAGTGATGTTGAGCACCTTTTCATGTACCTGTTTGCCATGTGTATTTTGTTTGTGTGTTTGTTTGTTTTGAGACACAGTCTTGCTCTGTCACACAGGTTGGAGTGTAGTGGCGTGATCTTGGCTCACTGCAACCTCTGCCTCCTGGGTTCAAGTGATTCTCCTGCCACAGCCTCCTGAGTAGCTGGGATTACAGGTGCCTGCCACGATGCCCAGCTGATTTTTGTATTTTTAGTAGAGACAGGGTTTCACCACGTTGGTCAGGCTGGTCCCAAACTCCTGACCTCAAGCAATCCACCCGCCTCGGTCTCCCAAAGTGCTGAGATTACAGGCATGAGCTACCATGCCCAGCCATGGAATATCTTTTTTCTTTGCTTTATTTTCAGTCTGTGTTTTTCCTTATAGATGATGTCTGTTTCTTGTAGGCAACAGATTGTTGGGTCATGGGTTATTTTTGTTTGTTTTTAATCCATTCAATCACTCTTACGTCTTTTGATTGGAGAATTTAGTCCATTTACATTCAGTGTTATTATTGACGAGGACTTACTCCTGCTATTTTGTTATTTGTTTTCTGGTGGTTTTGTGGTCTTCTCTTCCTCCTTTTCTTCCTTCCTGCCTTCCCTTTAGTAAAAGTGATTTTCACAGATGATATGTGTTAATTTCTTGCTTTTTATTTTTTGTGCATCTGTTGTATGTTTTTGATTTGAGGTTACCATGAGGCTTGCCAATAATATTTTATGAGCCATTCTTTTAAGCTGATGACAAGTTAACACTGATGGCATAAAGCAGCAAACAAAGAAGCAAAAAGAAAACTAATAAAAACTCTACACTTTAACTTTATCCCCCTACTTTTTAACTTTTTGTTGTTTTTATGTATACCTTATTATACTGTCTGTATCTTGAAAAGCTGTAGTTATTTGTAAAAGGTTCATCTTTTAGTCTTCTCAAGATAGTAGTTCATACCACAATTACAGTGTTATAATATTTTGTGTATTTACTGTTACCAGTGAATTTTGTACCTTCAGATTTCTTATTGCTTGTTAATGTCCTTTTCCTTTTGATTGAAGAACTCCCTTTAGCATTTCTTCTAGGACAGGTCTGGCATTGATAAAATCCCTCAGCTTTTGTTTGTCTAGGAAAGTCTTTATTTCTCCATATATGAAGGATATTTTCACTGGATACTGTTCTAAGGTAAAAGTTTTTTTTTTTTCTTTATCACTTGAAATATGTCATGCCACTCTCTCCTGGCCTCTAAGGTTTCCACTGAGAAGTCTGGGGCCAGACATATTGGAGCTCCATTGTATGTTATTTGTTTCTTTCCTCTTGCTGCTTTTAGGATCCTTTCTTTATCCTTGACCTTTGGGAGTCTGATTATTAAATACCTTGAGTTAATCTTCTTTGGTTTAAATCTGTTTGGTGTTCTGTAACCTTCCTGGACTTGAATATTGATAAATATCTTTCCCTAGGTTTCATAAGTTCTCTTTTTTTTTTTTTTTTTTTTTTTTTTTGAGATGGAGGTTCACTCTTGTCGCCCAGGCTGCAGTGCAATGGTGCAACCTCTGCTCACTGCACCCTCCGCCTCTACCTCCTCTTTAAGGCCAGTAACTCTTAAATTTGCTCTTTTGAGGCTGTTTTCTAGATCTTGTAAGCATGCTTCATTCTTTATTCTTGTCTCCTCTGTGTATTTTCATATAGGCTGCCTTCAAGCTTGCTAATTCTTCTGCTTCATCAATTTTGCTTTTAAGAGACTCTTGATGCATATTTCAGTATGTCAGCTGCATTTTTCGTCTCCAGAATTTCTCTCTGGTTCTTTGTAATTGTTTCAATCTCTTCGTTAAATTTATCTGATAGGATTCCGAATTCCTTCTCCACATTATCATGGATTTCCTTGAGCTTCCTCAAAACAGCTATTTTGACTCCTCGGTCTGAGAGGTCACATATCGCTGTCTCTCCAGGATTGATCACTGGTGCCTTCTTTAATTCCTTCGGTGGGTCATGTTTTTCTGGATGGTCTTGATGCTTATGGATGTTCATTAGTGCCTGGGCATTGAAGAGTTAGGTATTTTTGTAGTCTTTGTAGTCTGGGCTTGTTTGTACCCACCCTTCTGGGGAAGGCTTTCCAAGTATTTGAAGGCACTTGGGTGTTGTTATCTTAAGTCTTTGGTCACTGCAGCTATATCTGCTTTAGGGGACACTCCAAGCCCAATAACGCTGTGGCTCTTGTACACTCATAGCGGTACCACCTTGGTGGTCTTGCATAAGATCCTGGAGAATTCCCTGGGTTATCAAACAGACTCTTGTTCTCTTCTTCTCTTCCCTTACTTTCCTCTAAACAAACAGAGTCAGTCTCTCTCTCTGTCTGTGTGTGTGTGTGTGTGTGTGTGTGTGTTGAGCTGCCTGGAGCTGGGGGAGGGGCGACACAAGCAGCCCTGTGGACACCAGCACTGGGAGTGCACTGGGTCTTGCCCAAGGCCTGCAGTACTGCTGCCTGACTACCACCTATGTTCACTCAAGGCCCAAAGGCTCTACAGTCAGCAGGTAGCAAACCCAGCCAGGCTTGCGTCCTTTCGTTCAGGCAGTGAGTTCTCCGTGGGTCCAGAGATGCCATTCAGGAGCCAGAGCCTAGAGTTGGGTACATCAGAGATCTACCTAGTGCTCTATTCTGCTGCGGCTAAGCATTAAGCTGGCACCCAAGCTGTAAGACAAAGTCCTTCCCGCTCTTCCGTCCTCTTTTCTCAAGCAGAGGAGTCTTTTCCCATGGCCGCCATCGCCCCAGGCCCATGGTGAGTGCTGCCTGGCTACCACTGATGTTCACTCAAGGCCCAAGGGCTCTTCATTCAGCTCATGGTGAATGCTGCCAGTTCTGAGTCTCTCCCTTAAGGCCTTGGGGCTCCCCTCTAACCCAGGGCAGGTCCAGGAAAGTTTTCCAGGAGCCAAGGCCTGGAATCTGGGACCCCAGGAGCCTACTTAGTGCCCTACCCCACTGTGTCAAGCTGGTACCCAAGTTGCAACACAGAGTCCCCTTTATTCTTACCTCTTCTTTCCTCAAGCAGAAGGGGTCTCTCTCCATAGCCACCACAGTTGGTAATGTGCTGGGTCACCCCTGAAGCCAGCATGTCTCCAAGTCTCACCCAAGGCCCACAGCAAGTACTGCCTGGCTATCCCTCCTGGTTGTTCAGGGGCCAAGGGCTCTTTAGTCAGCAGGTGATGAGTTCTGCCAAGACTGGGTCCTTCCTTTTAAGACAGCAGATTTCCTTCTGGCCCAGGGTTTGTTTAGGAGTGTTGTCTGTGAGGTAGGGCCTGAAATGGGGGCCTCAGGACTCTGCCTGGTGCCCTCTCCTACTGTGGCTAAGCTGGTAGTTACAAGACAAGGTCCTCTTTACTCTCTCCACTCTTGTATTTGAACAGAGGGAAGGCATCTCTGTTGGAGCTACAAGCTGAGCTGAGCTGCCTGGGTTTGGGAGAGGGGTGATGTAAGCATTCCCTTGGTTGCCCTGGCTGTCTCACTAGGTCCACCCCAAGTCCACTGGCTCTGAGCCCAGCACAGCACCAGGACTTACCCAGAAACTGCAGTCCTTGTGGGCCTAGACTGCCTTTCAAGTTTATTTAGGACCTCAGGGCACTTTAGCTCTTGGTGGTGGGGCTTGCTGGAACTCAGGTTTCAACAGCTGGGATGGGTGATTTACCTCTGGCTAGGTCTGTTCTAAGTTCTCCATCCTTGAGCACCAGCTGAGCTCTGCCCTGTGTTGCTTTCTGCTATGACAGGGCAGCATTTAGTCCTAATGCAAAGTCCCATAATCACTGTGCTGTCCGTCCCCCAAATGCAGATTTTCTTTGCACACCACGGGGCCACT
Source organism: Homo sapiens (assembly GCF_000001405.40). Classification (NCBI taxonomy): domain Eukaryota; kingdom Metazoa; phylum Chordata; class Mammalia; order Primates; family Hominidae; genus Homo; species Homo sapiens. The sequence goes on from NW_025791803.1 coordinate 323,853, forward strand.
GCCAGGAGGTGAAGGAAGGGTGGTATAGGTAAGTCAAGACAGTTTTTCCTACCCGCTTCAGTGCCTCTTCCTTAATATGATGTTAAGACCAGGTATTGTGATCACTTACCTGATTTTCAGTTCTTATGAAGGTGCTTTTTTGTATGGATGGTTGTTCAAGTTGGTGTTCCAATAAGGGGGACGATCCCTGGAGGCCTCCATTCAGCCATCTTGCTCCACCTCCAGTTCTCAAGCTAGTTCTTTGAAAATCAACTTGGGAAAAGTTTTATACACAGGAACACTTGAATAATTGAACACAAATGTTCATTGTAGTTCAGAATTAGTAGAATATTCAACAGGTTACCATTGGCATGTGGGAAGCAAGAGAGCACTGTGGCTAGAAGGTATTGTTTTAGAGGGAAACCTGAAATGGACTGCAGTGTACCTGCTGCTATGCTGACTCAAAAAAAAAATTTCACAAAGTAGGCAATTGTCAGGGTTTCTAGCAGTCTCTTTGAGCCTTGTTAAAGAAATTGTTAATCTCATTCATACCTACCAACTCCTAGACCTCCATATCTTAAGATTTGGATTACTGTTGTAGCTTAACTGTTCTCCCTGCATATAATCCCCATATTTAGGCTGTCTCTTCAATTAGCCACATATTGCAAGTTCATTTTCCTCCTCTGGCTTCCTAACAACCATCAGCCATTCTCCAATAGATACCAACCAGGTGTCCTTGTGATTCAGTTCAACCGTGACACTGTTTACCTGGAGAGAGCATCAGATTTCCCATAGGATAAGGGCTGAGTAAGATTGCTACCACTTCAGATGCCAATTACAAGCCCCAGGTTGTTACCTGTGCTTCTCACAACTTCACCTTGAGTTGGATTAATTTGCTAGAAGGACTCACAGAACTCAGGGGCATACTTTACTTTTGTTTGCCTACTTACTATAAAGGATATCAGAAAGGATACAGATGAACAGCCAGATGGAAAAGATGCACATAGGGCAAGGCATGTGGGAAGGGGCTTGCAGCTTCCATGCTGTCTCCAGGTGCACTACCCTCCAGGCACCTCTATGTGTTCGGCAACCTGGAAGCTCTTCAAACTCTGTTCGTTGGGTTTTTATGGTGACCTCATTATATAGGCATGATTGATTAAATCATGGGTCATTGGTGATAAACTCACCTTCAGCCTCTCTCCTCTCCTTGGAGGTTGGGGAGTGGGGCTGAAAGTCTCAACCCTCTAATCGAAACTTGGTCTTTCTGGTGACTAGCCCCGTCTTGAAGCTCCCTAGGACCTCCCAGCCACCAGTCATCTCATTATCATATAAAAGACACTCAGCACTTCCAGAGATTCCAAGGGTTTTAAGAGCAATGTATCAGGAATCAGGAGCAGAGACCAAATATATATTTATCACAATACCCTTGAATTATTGTATTGAGTACTTAGTGTGGAATACCTGGTCTATATGTCTTTCTCCTTTTTGAAAAGGTCAAAAGGCAATTGTTGAATCCTCAGCACCTGATACTAAGATGGCAGATAGTAGATGTGCACTAAATATTTATTGGATTGATTACCTGCCGCACCTACTTTCTCTTTCTGAAATACCCTTACTTCTTTTGTCTATGCAAATTCTGTGCCTCCTTTAGAACTCACCTGTTCAATGAAGTATTTCTTGCTTTGCAGTCCATGCTAATTTCTGAACTCTTACTGTATTCATATGCTGTGCCACACAGCAAACTCTAAGGAATCTACAGCAATGACGTAAGTGTCCAAAGCATTTCTGTAATACGTTAATTAATATAGAAACAAAATTACTAATTAACCTGTTAAAAACAAATATTTACTCAGTACTTGCTGTGGTAAGGCACTGTGCTAGTCTTTAAGGGGACATAGGTAAATACTTCCTTCAAGGAGCTTACAGTTTAGTAAGAGGGATAAAACACACAACAGATAAGTGGTGAGTTTCATAAGGGGTGTATTTTGAGAGTTCAGATTAGGCTAGTTAGAGAGTAAAGGTTTGTGGATTTGATTACTATTGGGTAAAATTTAAACTACATAAAGTAGGCATTATTAGTCCTGTATTATTGATGAGAAAAAATGACACCCAGAGAATTTAAGGATTGTGACCAACTCATAATGATTGATAACTGATAGAGCTGAAATTTAAACCTAGTAAGTCTGCCTGCGGAATCTCTTCCTTTAATCACAACATCAGAGTTTAGAGGTGGTACTGATAAGAGTTAGCAACACTGGGCCGGGCACGGTGGCTCATGACCGTAATCCCAGCACTTTGGGAGGCTGAGGTGGGCAGATCATAAGGTCAAGAGATCTAGACCATGCCGGCCAACATGGTGAAACCTTGTCTCTACTAAAAATACAAAAATTACCTGGGCGTGGTGGTGGTGCGCCTGTAGTCCCATCTACTTGGGAGGCTGAGGCAGGAGAATTGCTTGAACCTGGAGGCGGAGGTTGCAGTGAGCCGAGATTGTGCCACTGCACTCCAGCCCGGCAACAGAGCAAGACTCCATCTCAAAAAAAAAAAAAAAAAAGCAATACTGATTGGATATGGGGAATAATGAAGTAGAGCAGGAAAAAGTGACATCAGAGATGGCCTGAATGATGTGATTAAGAAAGTGATAGTGCTATTGATAACATAGAGCACATGATAAGACATAAGAGTACGAGGAAAAATCAGTTAATTTGGGGCATACTGATTTTTAGATACCAGTGGGGAGGGGACATCTAGCAGTTAGAAATGTCAGACTGGATGTGAAATGCAGTTCAAGATAGGGGAAACCTGAATGGCCACAAAATATCTAAAAGCATGTCTAACCTTAGTAGGAACTGTGGAAATAGAAGTTAAAAACATGAGCTACCTCATGTTTTACTCAACTGCTAGATTGGAGGGGAATAAGAATTCTTATACAGTACTAGTTTTAGAGCTATTTGGCAATATCTAGTAAAGTTATATCTGCATATACTCAATAACTCAGAAATTTCATTTTTAGGTAGCTGCCTTAGAGAATCTCTTATGTGCAAGAATGTTCATTGCAATGGTGTTTGTAAAGGTGAAAAATGTTTAATGTTCATTATAATTAGAGAATAGATAAATCATGGTATACAATAGACTATTATGCAGTAAAGTGAACTATATCTTCATCTATCAACATGGATAAATCTCAGAAACATAATGTAGAGTGAAAGATGAAAGTTGCCTTTTGTTACTATTGATGAAAAAAGTAAAGACCTACATCATTCAGCCGGGCGTGGTGGCTTATGCCTGTAATCCCAGCACTTTAGGAGGCCGAGGCAGGTGGGTCACTTGAAGTCGGGAGTTTGAGACCAGCCTGACCAACATGGTGAAACCCTGTCTCTACTAAAAATATAAAATTAGCCGGGCGTGGTGGCCCATGCCTGTAATCCTAACTACTTGGGAGGCTGAGGCAGGAGAATCACTTGAACCCGGGAGGCGGAGGTTGCAGTGAACTGAGATTGCGCCATCACACTCCAGCCTGGGCAACGAGAGTGAAACTCCATCCCCCGCCCCCACCCCCCACCAAAAAAAAAAAACACCTGCATCATTCATATGTGTGTGTTAATTTTTTCATATGGGCATATACACATAGAGGATTGTGAATTGGAAAAATACATGATATTCTTGTTTTATCTGTCCCCTCTCTCCCCCTTTTGTTGCTTGGGTATTTTAAAGCATATCTCAGAGATCATGTTTCTAACATATACAGACTTAAACACACATACACGTGCATGTGCAGCCTGAGTATTTCCACACAAATTAAAGTTAATAATCCTGAATAATATATCTAAGACTAGTTTTCTGTTAAATTTTTTTCAGTTATCTCAAAGTTGTCTTTTTTTTTATTTTTATTTTTGAGATTCAGTCTTGCCCTTTCATCCAAGCTGGAGTGCAGTGGTGCAGTCTTGGCTCACTGCAGCCTCCACCTCCCAGGTTCAAGTGATTCTCCTGCCTCAGCCTCCTGAGTAGCTGGGATTACAGGCACCTGACTAATTTTTGTATTTTTAGTAGAGATGGGGTTTCACCATGTTGGCCAGGCTGGTCTTGAACTCCTGACCTCAAATGATCTGTCAGCCTTGGCCTCCCAAAGTACTGGGATTGCAGGCGTAAGCCATCCAGCCCTGTCAAAGTTGTCTTTTTTTTTTTTATAGTTGGTTGTTTAAAGATTCCAATGAAGTCTACACGTTGCACTTGGCTTAATGTCTGTATAAGAGTCTCTTTTAAGGAGTGATTTTTGTTATTTGTTTTAAACAAAAGTGTTAGGATTTTATTTTTATTTTTTTGTAGGTTAGAACCATCAGAGAGCCTTGAGGAAAACCAGCGGAACCTCCTTCAGATGACTGAAAAGTTCTTCCATGCCATCATCAGTTCCTCCTCAGAATTCCCCCCTCAACTTCGAAGTGTGTGCCACTGTTTATACCAGGTATGCTTACAGTTAGAGATTACCATTATTAATCTAAAGTTAAATTATGAAGAATGCTTTATCAAAGAAGGATCTAGCTGCTGATGGTGTGTGGTTAACTATAATACTGAGTCAGTTTGGATGAATAATACATTGAGAATTGTTGGAATTGTCTTTGAAAAAAACTTAAATATTACTTAGGCAACAGTTTGAAGTAAGAGAATACTTTAAAATACTAAATTTTACTTGCATTGGGAGCAAGTTTAAAATGCAGTGAATCCATTGGGTATGATGGATGTGGCTGAAATGAACATATTATGGATTTTTGTTGTTGTCATCTATTAACCTAAATTATTTACAGGGTGTTTCACAGTTGAGGCGGGTCTCCTCCTTGCTTTTTGCATTGTGAATTGCTTGATCATCTGTGATTTTGGTTTCTTCATTAATGTATAATTAGTTTGTGTCAGGTTTTCCCAGGATAGACTGATTGTTCTGTTTACTTTATGTAGCATATTTCTTAAAAGAGATACTGCATCATCATTCAGACCAAATTATTAGACCTTCTAACACTAGCACTGCAAGTAATGCGTCTGAACTCAGAAAATAGCCATAGTCATGGCCTTCTTTTTTAGGGAATTCGGTCTATGTTCTTTTATGTCTTCTACTGTGTTTTTGAATTGCACATTGCAGTTTTAGGAATTATTTATTCCAAGGGAGGTCCTGCAAATGCATATTAGCCTTTTGGAAACTGTGATTCTGGAAGAAACATTAGTGGGTCTGGAATTTGGGATAGGGGTGGATATAAGGGAAATACACAGTTATCAAAACCCATGTCTTTGTGTCTCTCTCTTTGCAGAGTCATCGCAGCCATTTGCTTTTTTAGCACACGGCTTCAGTTGCTTAGAGACGTTAACAGCATCATTGAAATCACCATTTTAAAAGCTGTTTGAGGCTGCTCTATGTGAATTTTTTCACCATTGCTATTTTTAAAGATGTATCTGTTCTATCTGTAAAAAAGCTTTTCACGGTATACATAGATGATAAAACATACTTAACCTTGTCTCTCTTAATTTATCATGACTTTTCTGCCTTTACAAAAAGGCTCAAGGAAACTTAGGAAAATCCTGTATAGTTTTTTCAACTAGTTAAGTCTGAGTCTAAAGGGTAGTTTAGTTATAATATGAAACTTAATACAGTGAATATCTTCTCAAGTTTGGGCTGTATTCAGGTTTCTCTTTAAATTTTATTTAGTAATTGTTCTATTGATGAAACTAGGCAGACAGGAAATAGCACATATTAAAAATAGTCTGGGTCAGCTTCTTGGTTGGCCTAGTAGTAACTGGTTTCAGAGAGCAAGTGGGTTTCTAAAATGACAGAGGCTTTGACTTTAGCTGGTTAAAAGTGAATGGGGACTGACTACATGATTACATGGTCTAGGAGATTGTAGTAGAATTTCTTCATGTGGTTGTCATCCTAAAAGAAAAATCTTTTTGTATCATGAGCAAAGTTGGAGACCGTTTTGAGACCATGATTCTAATAATGTAAAAGGAACAGGTCTTAGCACTTATTTAGTACTTAGGAAATATTTAATGAAGAAATAAATTTCCCATCCCTCCCACCTAAGTAAACAAGATTCTTGCCAGCTTTCACAGCTAAGAAAGGAGGAAAATAGTGAAAATAGATTTTTAAACACTATATGTGGTGATTATTAAACAGTATGTTATGCTTTTTAGAGCACTTCACAGTAAAATATCCTATATTATTTTAATAACAAACCTGGTTTATTATGTTAAAATTTCACATAAAATTATTATCTTTAAAAACATGAATTAAAGGTGGTATCAGTGCATTGTTTAAGTATTGGGTAAAAGCATTGTTGAAGAGCAGAGACAGCATGCTGTGTTGTTATTAAATAAGGCTTTATTTTTTAATTAGTAACTGGTAACAGGGAATGTTACATTTACTGATTAGAAAGAAAGATAGGAAAAAAGCTTTGGTCTCAAGATAGTATTTTATTGAGTCTGCTTCCCAAACCTAGTTTATTTCTTTTGGTTTGCTCTTTTGTTTTTATTCATCTTCCCTCTTCTGGCTTTTTCTTGCCCCTTTGCCTTTGGCAGTAACAGAAAGGTACCTTCCTGCTCTTCTGTGTTCTGCCTGGAGGGATAGTAGTCCCTTTGGGACCTACTGGGGAAATGTTGAAAGGGAAGTGAGTATATTGCTAGCTAATAAACTTCCCTGGACTTTAGCTCCTTTTTTGAGTTCATATCTTGGCCTTTAAGCCTTTTCAAATCATGTGTTAACCAGCTCTATTACTTTATATACCTTCCTTCCTTAGTTGACTGGATTAAGGTTATTTAAGAATAGCCAACTGTGAACATGTGTCAGATTTATAATTAAATCATTTTCTCATGTGTTGTTTTCACTTCTCCTGATGGTTTTAGGATAAAGATAAAATGATTCCCAAAGTGGATATTCTCGTATGGTGAGAGAATTCTAAGAACTAATTTATGATTCTAAATAAATCTCACCCTTTTTCAGTAAATCTGCTTCTCCAAACTGAAGTAGTTTACACACAGTTTTAAGGCTATAAATGATAGTTATATACCACTGTTACTAATACATTTGTATATAGTCTAAAGTTTGAAACAAAGCTCTGTGAGCTAAGGGGCTGTGTCTTGTTGTTTTACTGCTATTTCCCAATGCCTAGAATGGTATTTGACCTGTAGGTACACAGTAACTCTTTGGATGGATGAATGGGTGGGTGGATGAATGGATGTCTAACTAACTTAAAGCCCAAGTTATGGGTTATGGTGTTGGATGTCCAGAATTCCCAGAATAAGATGCCATCTATTTGTGGATTAAATAATTCTAACATGGTTTTAAAAATATTTTTAAAATAATTATTCTGCCTAGGCTAGTCCAATCAAGAGTCTTTTAATTTTGAAAGAAATCTTTGGTCTAGAAAGAGCTCTGAGAGATGAAACCAATATGTGCCTGGAGTTTTGGGGGTTTTTTAGGTGGCTTTTTTTTTTTTTTTTTTTAAGATATTTTGATAAATGGTCAACTGTAATATGTGAAAAGTTTTAAGCAGGCCTACAGTTTTGTTCTGTAATTTTCTCTGCAGTTTCTTCACTTTAATAATATTAATGCTTCTTACTAGTTGAGCTGATAACCTTCTTCTCCCAAATGTTGCAGAGCTTTTAACCTCCTCTGATTAGAACCATTTCAGGAAGTAGCCTGCAAACATTGAAAAATATGTGAAATGTTAAGAGTAATCTTTTTTAGAGAGAGAGGTCTTTAATTCAGAATTTCTAAAGTGAATTTTTATATTTATCCATATAATTTTTATTTCTTTATTCAGTAGGATCATAATTAAATGCCAGGTGTTGGAAAAAGAACTTAAAGTCAATTGAAGGATACACAGAGAAGAATTTTACATACCAAGAAAAAATTATGTAGACACAAATGTTTTTAGTGTGTGATCTACTTGTAATGAATATTTTATATTACATTTCTCAAAAGCTAGGAATTAACCAAAATGTAAATATTTAATATCCTCAAATTCACTTGGAGAGAGTTTTTCTGTGATTCATAGCCAGAAATAGTAGACATGATTGGGTCTCAACATTTCTTGCTGTTTTAGTGCTTGGCTTAAAAATGTAATAAAAATTAAAACCCAGAATTAAAATTCATTCCTCAAAATTCAGTTGATTTCTAATTTTTTGTTGATTCCATTTGTGTTACATTTTATGGTGTAATTTTATGTACAAGCCAACATTGTTTTTGTTGCTGTATGTAGTCGGTGCTGTGACTTGTTTGTGCTCATCTCTGTTCTGTAGGCAACTTGCCACTCCCTACTGAATAAAGCTACAGTAAAAGAAAAAAAGGAAAACAAAAAATCAGTAAGTTTGGAGAACTTTTTATTAGCTGTTTCTTTCAAAGCAAAACAAAAATCTTTTGCTGTTTGTTAAGAATATCTTCACTTCAGCCTATTTGACCTTCACTGTAAAATCATTCTACTAATTCTGGCACAAAATAGCTTTCATTTCAATTAACCCTGGAATTAAGTTACATTGAAACATTCTCTGTGTTCCTTTGGTTTGATTTATCCCAAAGGCAATTTGTGGGCATTTGTTGCATTGGATATCCTTGGTCTAATTTTATTATTGTTACTTTTTAAATTATAAATGAATGCAAAGAAACTTAATTTCAAGGCCTTAGGAAACGCTGACTGTCTTCATTCTTGCTTCTTGTTTGAAGGTAATGTGAGTGGTTTCTTTTCCCAGAGATGACAGTGTTTCTTAATTGTTAGAAGTATATGGTGGGAAAGAGTCACTTTCTAAATCTTACCTAAAAGTTGCTAAATTTTATTTTTTTACTCTTCATATTTTTATCTAGGCAGTCTCAGGCATAATTTAGATATTTGTGCATAGATTATAGAAATTTTAATGGTAAAACTACTTTTACCTCAAAAAAATAAGAGGTAAATGATAAGATAGTACTTTTGAGATAAAAGAAAACTGAGTTCATATTTGTAGAAAAACACATCATTCTGCAAACATAATGTGAATATACTATCTGCTTCTATGAACTTGCCTTGATTTATTTAAAAGGAAGAAAATTATGAGAGTCGTAATTATTTTCTTCCAGTGAATGGAATTTGTCCAAAATATAATATGCATTCATTTTACATTTGCCATTATCTGTCACAGTGACTTATCAGGCTGAGCCCTGTCTTTGTTCATATAATCCAAATGATTGTAGAGTAAGATGTAAAGAAAACTAAGTAGGTAGTTTTCTTAAAAGGGTGTAATTTAGAATACAGTGTTCATCTGGTTTCATCTTTCATGCCTTATCTAAACTTTACATATAATAAAAGCTTTATGGCTGGGCACAGTGGCTCATACCTGTAATCCGGGCACTTTGGGAGACCAAGGTGGGAGTATCTCTTGAGCCCAAGAGTTAAAGACCAGCTTGGGCAACATAGCGAGTCGTCTCTACAAATAATTTTTTTTTTTTTTTAATTAGCCAGGCGTGGTGGTGTACTCCTGTAGTCCCAGCTACTCGGGAGGCTGAGGCAGGAGGATTGCTTGAGCCCAGGTGGTTGAGGCTGCAGTGAGCTGTGATTGTATCACTGTACTCCACCATGAGTGACAGAGTAAGACCCTGTCTCACAAAAAAAAAAAAAAAAAAAGAAAACGAAAAAGCTTTACATATAAGTTTCTAAGCTGTACATATAAATTATCTAAGCTTTAAATATAGATTTTTAAAATTCAAATCAAAATTTAAATTTATAGACATATACTTTTGTTGTGTCCATTGAAGATTTTATTTTTGATTATATTAAGTAAATTTGCCTAGCTATGATCAAATTGATTGGATTATAAAGACGTTTCTAATGCTTCAGCCTTCTAATTCTCAGCATATGTGAGTTTAACATAATGTACACCATCATTGTTGAAATTAATTTGCTGCTTCTAACACTCTTGTTCAGTGTTATACTAATGCCATTTTGTAGTGTATCACATAATTAAAATTCAGGCTTTCTGTGTTTCTCTAGAGCATGTTTTCTAGCCTTTCTAACACTGCTTTATTTATTAAGATTATGTCTAAAATTGTTTCTTGAAATGTTTTTTTTTCTACTAGAGTTATTTTCAAAAAATTTTTTTTTAATTTCTGGGTAACACCAAGTTTTGGAATGTATTTCTCAGCACAGGTAATACGAGCTCCTCATGGAAACAAGGGGAATCTAATTGGTAATTCGAGATATTTTAGAGTACATTCCAAAGTATGAAGACAGTATACTCATAAATTTAAAATGTTGTTTTATGGAGTTGTGTGCTTTAACAAAACCTAATGATATTTAAGAGCAAGCTGACTTTCTTTTTGGGTGTATATGTCATGGATTGGAATATGTAAAATATAGAGAGAAGATCTGGCTTCTAGTATATAGCTGTGTAGTCACATTACAAATAACTGTTTATTATTCTCAAATATATAGTGTATAATGAGGTTTACTTTGAAAGTTAACTGTCTGCCTAACTCAGGGAGAATGCAGTAACTAAGCATATATGGGTAGTAATGCTCTTGCTGAAGTGTAGTTTATGACTACATGCATTCGCGTTATGTAGTCAGCTTTTACCAAGGGAAGAAAGGGTACATTTGGCTGATAACTGGTCTCAACACACAGACTGGCCCAAGTTTGACCTTTTATGCAGAATGTCTTTTGGATCCAAATTAGATTTTTATGGATTAAAAAAAACACTAGAGCATGTATGTATTATGAGGTAAAATTACATTGATGTCAATTAGTGGTGAATGAAAAAAAAACAGTCCTTTTATAAGTTGACTTACGAAACTTGTTATGTAGCATTTTTATTGGTTTTTAAAATCAGTTTTTAGTTCCAAAATTATATTGATTCTGCCATCAGTGATACATATATTTATATGATACATGAGACAGTATGTGTTCCTGAGGTGTCGATATTTTGGGTTTTGACATGAATTATTTTTAAAGATGTGGAAGATGGTAAAAGTGTAGTACTTTTCATAAAGTTTACAATATGCTTTTGGGAAATCACTCAGTTTTTCATTAAATTCTGAGGCTGAGTACCATTAAATCAGGTGTAAATATGAGTCACATTTTAAAACTTCTTTGTCCTAGAGAAAACCGGTAAATAGCTACTTTCAAAGAAGTATTTTGTCTAATTGATGATAACCATTACAAATTTCCTTGTTCCTTCTCCACTCCCAGTGCTTCATTTTACTAGCATAAAAAATAAAACAGTATTTTGAAAGCTCTCCATGTGTTTCACAGCAGGTTAACATTTTATAAACTAACTGGTTCTTTGAAAATTAAACTATGGGTTTTAGTTTTGTAAAAACTTTTAGAATTTTAATGAGTTAAACGTATGAGATGCTAATTCTTTTAAAATAATCTATTTTAAAATAATTATAAAGCAGTTTTTAATCCTTTTCCCTCCTGCTAACTCACTCCTTAAAGGCTTTAAAATGTTATAGGTTTCTTTTGTCTGCCTTTATTTATTTATTTATTTATTTATTTTGAGACAGTCTCTCTGTCACCCAGATTGGAGTGCAGTGGCACGATGGCTCACTGCAACCTCCACCTCCTGGGTTTAAGCGATTCTCCTGCCTTAGCCTTCCAAGTAGCTGGGATTACAGGTGTGGCTCCACCATGTCCAGCTAATTTTTGTATTTTTAGTAGAGATGGGGTTTTGCCATGTTGGCCAGGCTGGTTTCGAACTCCTAGCCTCAAGTGATCTGCCCGCCTCGGCCTCCCAGAGTGCTGGGATTACAGGCATGAGCCACCACGCCCAGCCAGAGAATTGTCTAAGATTAAAATTTGGGAGTTTTAGAAAACCACTCAGTAGCAATGATGGTCTATGAATATTCTAAAATTATGTGAAGAATTTTGTGTGTGTGAATGCATACATTCATTTTTCTAACCTTTATCAGATTTCAAAGAGGTTCCTCGTCCCCAGAAGGTTCAACACCGTACTGGAATAGTCAAAGCACTGGAATTTTTTCTTAATTTTACATCTTTCTATAGTTTTAGCTAAAACTTCTGTATCTAATTCTAAATGTATATATTTGAGCTAAAAATAAATGGTATTTAGGTTTTAAAGCCATTCTAATAAAGCAGCTATATTTAGTCACCTTCACCAGTTTCCCCTTATTTAAGGGTTAAGGTTGTTCTTCATGCAATAAACACTGTAACATAAAGAAAGCTTCCTGAACTATGTGTAGTGTAACTGAAGATGGAACTATATTAGTTACAACTGACCTCTTTTTATCACCTCTTACAAATATTTTCTCTAAAATCTAGTTTTTACTAACTTCCTGTTAGAGATTATAGAAAGCTATTTTGAGGTTATAAGCAGTGATAACACATTTAAAATGTGGACTGCATGAAGCACTACATTGAACAAGATGAAGTGAAATAATCCCCATTTTTTCCAGAGTTAATCTGGAGTCAGCCTGTCATAATTTGTGTCATAATTTCCTGTCATAAATTATGACAGGAAATATTTATTGAAGCATTGTGAAAAAAATAGCTACGTGATATTCCGCATGTAAATCTGGGTCCCCTCCCACCAATATCCTTTGAAATGAAGGTTTATCCTTGACATCACAGAATATTGAGTGGAATGCTACAGTTTTGTAGTCACTGCTACTTTAAACAGCAGTTTAGCCGCACTAAGCAAGAATAGCTGTAGAGATTAAAATGTTACATTAAGTGTTCTTTAAAAATGAACATATATAGTATATATAAAAATGTAAACTGCAAAATATAATTTTCATCTATGACATGATTTAAAGCAGGGGACTCTGGAAAGGGATGGGAGCTGAACCAGTTTTATAGCACTCTTCCCGAGCTAAGGTACCTTTTTATCTTAATGTAGAATGTTTTATAAAGGGAAAATCATCCATTTTAAATATTGGGTTCACATTGCTTTTCAGGCTGGACAACCATTTCTTGAGTTCTTAAATTATTTTTATTTGACAGAATTATAAATTGAGGTAGACATAGGGGTTCTCTCTTCTGGTGAGATCCTTTTTTCTTTTAGGTCCCCAAGAATTCCCATCCCTCCATGGTTTAAATAATAGGTAGGTTCTTGTATTATAAAGGAAGCTGTGAAGAAAAGGCACTGGCAGTAACATTACTTGTAAGTAAGTTTTTTTTTTTCTCAGTAAGAATCTAATATTTTATTTTGTATATGGCAAGCATTTTTTTCTTAAATTCAATTGTAACTGGTACACAACAAAATGTAAATATGTACTATCAGGTATAGGATGTTTTGGGGGTGTGCTGTTGAAAATTTAGTTTCACGTTATAAAGTTGACCACACTTTCATGTCTGTTAATCTTAGTAAATTATGATCATCTTTGTGTGAAAAATTTGGTCTGCTTTCATTACTCATCAAACATGCAGTATAAGTGATGATACAGTGAAGATCTTTTTTCAGGTTTCTTCTACCCATCTCATCCATGAGGTTTTTCTTTCCTCTGAGATACCTTAATTGTACTTTAATATGATATAAGACTAGAATTGAGAGGAAACTTTATTTTCTCATGTTTTGGGAGAAGAAAAAAATAGAAATATGTCATTCATGAGGACTGATTGATTCAGAGTTTTTATGCAAAGTTTGACCTTTGAACTCTTTGTTTTCATGTCTTTATATTAATTCAAACCTTATACTCAATTCTCAACTCCTTGTTTTTAGGTGGTTAGCCAGCGTTTCCCTCAGAACAGCATCGGTGCAGTAGGAAGTGCCATGTTCCTCAGATTTATCAATCCTGCCATTGTCTCACCGTATGAAGCAGGGATTTTAGATAAAAAGCCACCACCTAGAATCGAAAGGGGCTTGAAGTTAATGTCAAAGGTGAATTATTTTGATAATCTAGCTATCTTAAATTCCCCTTCCAACTAAATTTTCAGCTTTTCTTACAGTACTTCCTCTTACATTTATATTTGAAATACCCTATGGTTTTCAGTTATGTGCTTTTGTTTTATTTGTTTATATTACAAAGGAATTCATTAGTTAGGTACCTGATGGACCTTATTTTCATGATAAAACATTTTATTATAGCAGATGTCTTGTGTTATGAAGATCATTTTTTGCGTAATCATTCTAGACATTCTGAAACAGACTAGAATGTAGACTATAGGATTTTTTATTTTAAAAGTCATTAAACATTTTTAATATGTATTTTTACATGTAAATATAATAATTATATTTGGGAAGGTTAGAAACACTACCTAAAATAATTTATAGAATGAGGAATGTTTGATTTTTAAGTACTAGCAGAAATTATATCAATGAGAAAATTCATGTTTTTAAAGAATGTCTTAATGTATAGACTTCATACAATAAATAATCTGATTATTTATAACCCTGTTTTATTGTGTAGATACTTCAGAGTATTGCCAATCATGTTCTCTTCACAAAAGAAGAACATATGCGGCCTTTCAATGATTTTGTGAAAAGCAACTTTGATGCAGCACGCAGGTAATTTTCTTGCCACTTACTCAGTTGCTCTGTTTGAATCAAATATTTTCGGTTTCACATAAATCCATGTACCTGTTTTACATGAAGTTCCTGTGTAAGTTTTTTTCTTTTCCTGCTCTAGGTCAAGACATAGCTTGTCTTATTTTATTTTACTATAAAAGACAGTCATGAAATAAATTAATATTTTTTATAATTTGGTAGTGATTTTCATATTTGAAAACCAAGAGGGATTTTTGACATGTCTAATTAAATAAAGGATTTGAGGATGGTACAATATGTGGACAAGGAAGAAGTAGGATTCTTTTTATTTAAAACTAAAACCAAATTGGTATCAATAATACATAACAATGTTTAATAAGGTTTTTTTGATGTTAGAGTATTTGTGATACTTAAATTTGGAAGTGTATCTAAACTAAAATGTTATTCTTTAAACCAAGTCAAACAAACACATAAGATTTTGTTTATGAGGAACTGAACTTTATGATTTTAGAAAACTTTTCTGCTAGATTTCTATAACTAGTTATTTCACTTTATTTCTCTGAGTTATTGGTCTATCTGTAAAGTAGGGATAAACTCTTTGCCTGAGTTGTTTTTAGAGAAAAAAATGAGATAATTCATAAGAAAGCGCTTTGTAAATTTATGTCTGGAATTCTGCTTTTCATGCAGTGTGAATCTAATTGATCCTCATCATCTAAGCTAGCCTTGTACAACTCTCTCTTCCAGTTTATCATCATTGTAGTTGTTACTGACTTTTTTTCTGTTAGAGAAATTGGAGTTGAAAAGGTATATTGCTGAATGACAAGCCATGTTGGAAAGAGAGTGAA
The DNA here is from genome assembly GCF_000001405.40 of Homo sapiens. Lineage (NCBI taxonomy): Eukaryota > Metazoa > Chordata > Mammalia > Primates > Hominidae > Homo > Homo sapiens. Next base: position 339,128 of record NW_025791803.1, read on the forward strand.
TGTCAGCATAGGATTCATATTCTGGCACTCTGTGTACCCATACAAAGTTAAAAGGATCAAAGTTTTAATCCTGGCTCTGACCTAGCAGGCTATATATCTTTGGGGAGGTCTTTCGTCTGGACCTTCATTTCCTTATCTGTAAAATACTAGCCTCTTTCCAAAGTTTCATCCATCTTAATTTTGTTGTTGTTTAACTTCAGAGCCTACTTTGAAGCTGAAGCCGGGTATCAGAAATGGAAAGCCAACTTTCTCCTTGTCCTTTTTGCTTTGTCTAATGTCAAGTCACATTGTGTGAACAAGCCCTCCATATTTGTAATCTTAGTTACTTCACAAAGTTACTTCTTATAAATTTAATTCAAACATAAGTCTGGGTGTATCTGGTGTTGAAAATTCTAATGACTTTGCATTTTTGAAGGTTTTTCCTTGATATAGCATCTGATTGTCCTACAAGTGATGCAGTAAATCATAGTCTTTCCTTCATAAGTGACGGCAATGTGCTTGCTTTACATCGTCTACTCTGGAACAATCAGGAGAAAATTGGGCAGTATCTTTCCAGCAACAGGTAAGATTTCCCAGTCATGGGGATAGTGAACACTCTCCGTTTAAATTTAGATTAATACAATTATTGGTCATGAATAGTGCTTTTTACTTTGCATCTTCTTGGACTAAGAATTATGGTTTAGAAAGAGAAAGATTCTTTTTTTCAAAAAAATACAAACAAAAGGTTAAGTCATATTAAATAATCAACAAACCTACCTAGGTTCCAGTGGTCATTATTATTATTTTTTTGTCAGGTTAAGAAATCACAGATTTGCTCTTTGGGTTTTTATGGCTTGCAGATTGTTATAGATCCAAAGAAGTTCAGATTAGCGTTGGCATTTGACTCTGAAGAACAGCCAATTCGTAGGAATTCAGTAATTAAAATATTGTCAGTGTTTTAATTCTATGATAAACTCATTCGTGATACTCTTAAGTATATGCAAATAAAGCTTTATATAGAAAATACCGGCCTGGCACAGTGGATTACACCTATAATCTCAGCACTTTGGGTGGCTGAGGCAGGCAGATCACCTGAGGTCAGGAGTTCGAGATCAGGCTGGCCAACATGGTGAAACCCTGTCTCTACGAAAAATACAAAAATTAGCTGGGCATGGTGGCAGGGGCCTGTAATCCCAGCTACTCGGGAGGCTGAGCCAGGAAAATCGCTTGAACCCAGGAGGCAGAGGTTGCAGTGATCCAAGATCGCACAATTGTACTCCAGCCTGGGCCACAAGAGCTAAACTCCATCTCAGAAATTAAAAAAAAAAAAAAAATACTTAAAAATCAAAATTATTAATTTGGGCATTGTTTCATTAGCTCTTATTAGTCTCTTGTGTAACATAAATTACTTGCTGTCCCATCTAGTTATATAAACTTGTAAAGGGACCAAATTCCTATGTATGAAGAGTTCCTTACAAAGGAAGAATGAGTCCAAATTATTTTTAAATGCCAATAAAAATGATTAGCACATTCACGGGAAAAGTAGTGGACTGTGAAGCTAAGGGTAAGCAATTGGGAGATGGGAGTTTAAATGACAGGGCATTTTAATCTTTTATGAATTATTAATGGATTGAAGTAGACATGGTCCTGAGGTCTTTTTGGTGCTGTTTACAAATCAGCTGACAGTAAAAGGAAAAGCAACCAGTTACAAGTTAAAGAAATGTGTAGTGCTAAATGTGAACTGCTAATTTTTTTTCTAAGTAGTTTGCTGTATCTAGGGATCATAAAGCTGTTGGAAGACGACCTTTTGATAAGATGGCAACACTTCTTGCATACCTGGGTCCTCCAGAGCACAAACCTGTGGCAGATACACACTGGTCCAGCCTTAACCTTACCAGTTCAAAGTTTGAGGAATTTATGACTAGGTAAAGTACAACCTTGAAATAGTTGATTGCTTTCTTTTTGGTTGAGAAGGAGAGTTTGCCACCAGGCCACTTGTTAGATATGATAGAAGACTATGAGGAAAGATGTATTTAATAATCACATTGCCATGTTTGGGGAATCCAACTATATATTATTTATATATATAGGGTGTGTTTTATTTTATATATTGATTGTCATAACAATAGTAACAAATCATATTTTATCATCTTGCTTTCATAAGTTTTCACATTTAATACTTACCAGGGAGTGAAGACAACATTATTTTCAAATTATAGTTAAGGAAAATGCAACTCAATGTGAATAATTGACTTGCCTAAGATTCCACACCTGATTCATAGGTCTTTTGGTTTTAAGTGCAGGACTTCTCTACTACACTATAACATTTTTCAGAACCCTCATAAAGGTTAATGGTTTTAAATTATTTCAGATTAAGGTTCAGAAAATATAGTATACTTCAGTATTGCTGTAAAATTTCTGTGGACATTTGTTTGAATCCCATTTAGTGGGATTTAGTTTGTGAATGAAAAGATCCTCATTGTTAGACACTTACTCTGTGATGATACAGTGAGAGTAGTTTGCTGAATCTTTTAAAGTACCTTTCACAGGACTTTATGCTTAGTAAGTGCTCCTTCGTGTCTGTGATTTGAGTGCTATGTTCATAGTATGTTCCAAAACAGAATAAAACAGAATCTGATGATGAGAAGTTAAAGATTTGTATATAATATGCCTTGAATTGTAAGTGCCTGTTGTTAGTTGTATTACTTACAGGTCATGGTTTTGTACATATAACTCCAAACCATTGATACTGTTAAAAGAATATATGAATATATGAAAGAATGTATAAACATAAGAATGTATGGGTATATAGTGTCCTTTCCAAATTAATTTTTATTTTTAGCTCTACTAGATTTTTTTTAGTGTAACAAATGTTTATTCCTATGTAATTAAGGGCATATTTTCCATACAGACTATTCACATTACCTAATTGAAAATTATATACTACAAAAATATAATACTATTTTTAGGCCAGACATGGTGGCTAATACCTATAACCCCAACATTTTGAGAGGCCAAGGTGAGAGAATTGCTGGAGGCCAGGAGTTCAAGACCAGCCTGGGCAACATAGTGAGACCTTGTCTTTATTAGATAGATAGATAGGTAGGTAGGTAGGTAGGTAGGTAGGTAGATAGATAGGTAGGTAGGTAGGTAGGTAGGTAGGTAGGTAGATAGATAGATAGATAGATAGATAGATAAGATAAGATAAGATAGATAAGATAGATAGATTGGGCACAGTGGCTCATGCCTGTAATCCCAGCATTTTGGGAGGCCAAGGCAGGAGGATTGCTTGAGCCCAGGAGTGTGAGACCACCCTGGGCAACATAGCAGGACTCCATCTCTACAAATAATAAAATATTAACCAGGTGTGATGGTACGCACCTGTGGTCCCAGCTACCTGGGAGGCTGAGGTGGGAGGATTGCTTGAGGATGCAGTGAACTGTGATTGCACCAGTGCATTTCCAGCCTAGGTGACAGAATGAGACCTTGTCTATAAATAAAGAAATAAGTAAAAATATAAATAAGTAAAAAGAAATATAAGTAAATATAAATATAAATAAATATAAATATAAAAATGAATGAATCAAAACAGTTTTTAAATTTGACATCACTGAGGACATCCTAGCCATTTTTCTAGAAAAATATTTTTATTATTCCTTTTTTCTAAGATCCTACCTTCCCTTACAAAGCAATCTTTTGTGCTTTTGAAGATTAAGTAATCCAATATATATAATATACTTAGCATAGTATCTGGTACTTGTAAAGTAATTAATAAATGTTGGATCTTATTTTTGTTCTAAATTCCCACTGATGCTCTTGGAGACCCATTTTCTTTTTTTAAAAAAAAATGAAGGTAGCTTTATAATATTCTCAGTTATTTAAAAAATTATTAAATTACTTGATATAGAAATCTAAAGAAAGTTAAAAAAATTAAAAATTGTTTATCCTCCCTCTCAGAATACTTCACTTAACGTTTGGTGAATAGTCTCCCAGTCATTTATCTATGCACATGTACATTTGTTTCTCCTATCAAATGATATCTAGGTTGTTTCCATTAATATTTTTAAAATTCTGACCTGGTACCAGCAGCATGATGGGCTGAGCTAATGCAATCTCTTCCCAAGACATAAGGCTCATAGAAATACTAGGTGTAAAAGAAAATATGTGTACTTAAAAAAATTTAGGCCGAGTGCGGTGACTCACGCCTGTAATCCCAGCATTTTGGGAGGCCGAGGTGGGTAGATCACCTGAGGTCAGGAGTTCGAGGCAAGCCTGGCCAGCATGGCGAAACCCCATCTCTACTAAATAAATAAATATATATATATGAATTAGCCAGGTGTGGTGGTGGGCACTTGTAATCCCAGCTACTTGGGAGGCCAAGGCAGGAGAATCATTTGAACCCGGGAGGCAGAGGTTGCAGTGAGCCGAGATCGTGCCACTGCACTCCAGCCTGGTCAACAAGAGCAAAACTCCATCTCAAAAAAAAAAAAAAATTAAATTTATAGCTGAAGCTAGTTTCTAAGCAAATTACCTAGCATACAGTCAGTATAGACAGATAAATGGAAAATATGAAAGAGGTTAGGAGATGCAGAAGATAAAATGAGGAGGTTCAAAATATGTCTAGTAGGTGTTCCCTAGAAACTGAGCTCAGTGAGAATGGGAAGAAGTAATATTTGAAAGGCTAATGGATGTATGTTTTCTAGAGTTGATGAATGACATGAATCTTGAGGTTGAAGAAGCACACTGAGTCTTGAGCAAACTATATAAAAATTAAACCAGGCTTTAATACATATGGGAACATAATATATGCTAAAGCTGGTATTCAGAATCGAGATTAGGATGGACTTTCAATAAATGGTTTTGATAAAACTGAGTAATGATTTGGAAAAATATTTTCATACCATTTATGATAAACTTCCATAAATCAAAAAAAATGAGCAAAGCAAGGCCTTTTTCATCCATTCAAAATCCATAAACTAGAAAAGATTGATAAAATGAATTATTTAAAAAATCATAAACTTCTGTCTGGGACAAAAATGTCATGAGTAAAACCAATCCTATGGTTAATATTCTTGCCCAGTAGTTCTCTTAGAATAGTCCTAAAAGTGCTTTTGTGGTTCAAAGAGTAATACCTTGAAATTTTTGGTGCATGTTGCCAAATTACCCTTTAGAATGCCTGTTGCTTTTAAAATATTTTTTCATTTTAGTATTTTATTGTTTATCCAATTATAGACTTTTTTACATACTCAGTAGACAACATAAAGCCTCATAATTACTCTGTTATTTTTCTTTTAGGCATCAGGTACATGAAAAAGAAGAATTCAAGGCTTTGAAAACGTTAAGTATTTTCTACCAAGCTGGGACTTCCAAAGCTGGGAATCCTATTTTTTATTATGTTGCACGGAGGTAAGAAATACTATGTTTTGGGTCTCTTAACAGAATTTTTTAAATTATAGCAAATATAGAGAGATGGCAAGTTTGGTTTTTCCCAGTTGACTTAACAGGAATTGAAGACAAGTTTACTTGGGAGCATATAGCAGGGTAAATAGCCTGCGTTTCCTAAAATGATGGTCGGTATCTAGTAGCTGCTTTTCATACTACCCATTTCATATTGCTTACTCTGTCCTACATCATTTTTTAAAATACTGCCTGCAATGGATTAATTACCAAGAGTTAAAAACCCACAAAGAATCTTTTGTTTTCAAGTATATTCTGATTAAATAGTACTCACAACATGATAACTGGGAACTTTTTTTAAAGGAAGAAATAAAACTATAAGAGCCTATTTCTGAGAACTTTTAAAAATATGCTGTGTAAGACAGCATCAGGATGATTTAAAAAATAATTCAAAGGAGTGGTGAAAAATCTCTATGAAGATGGTGCAAGGGGTGGCCTGGAAAACGGTGCTTGTTCATGCTGCCCTCAGTTGAGGCTAGTTCCTAGAAAGCCTTTCTGGAAATGTTGTGAGCTCTTCCTTAATAATAGGTATGATGCTTGCCTTGCTTTCCCTACCATTGTCTTTTCTTTTTTGCTTCATTTTACCTTCCTTTTGAAAACTCAATCTGTGACGTTATTTGGTCAGTTTTACTTTTTCCCATTTACCATGACATACATTCATGGTAATTGAGCCTTAGAGACAACATGATACATAGAGAAACCACTGACTTTGGAATCTCAAGGACCATGTTTAGACCTAGTTCTGCTACTCATTAGTTATAGACTTAATCTTTACCAGTTTCCTGAATTTAACAGTATTTAACATCCATGACCATTAAGTTAGTAGACTTACATTGTTAGTCAGCTTGCTGGCCACAGGTGGCAGTGTGTAGGAAACAAATCAAGGTTGAGAAATAGTAGAGAGACGGTGAAGGAAGATCAGTGGAAGATGGGAAACTTGTCTAATAGGGTCATTCAGATAGCCTTAAGACCAAGAAGTCCAAAGGACTGGAGTATTAGGGAATCAAGAAAGTAAGAAAATTGCATTGAACCTCCCGCCACCCCCCTGCCCTTTAACAACTCTAAGTAACCCCTGCTCACCTTCCCATGAAAGGCCTCTCTCCAGCTCTCATCTCAGTTGCCATTTCTAAATTGCCTAAGATCATTTTAATTTTCGTTTGCGTTTGAGATGAACCATATTTGTATTCTAACCCCAACCTTTAATACAACCAGGATATTTTTACTTTTCCGTTGTTGTCTAAGTAAAAAGCAAACATTGGTAAGGGAGGTAGAAGATGTGTTTCCCCCTCTTCTTTAAAATCTTATTAGTTTACAAATAGCAAAGATTTCTGGAAAACAAAGCTGCGTTTTTTTTTTTTCGGAATCAGAAACTGTTATATTTGTATTCCCTCTCTGTGGTGATCTAGAAAAAGCTAAAGGAAAGATTGGACCTGCTGCAGATCCCTTAGTGAGATTCAATCAGTTTGGTTTCCATGAAACCTATTGAGTCTTGTGGCCTGAGAATGCTAAGAATTCTCAGCTCTGCTGCTTATTAGCTGCATAATCTTTTTTTTTTTTTGAAATGGAGTTTCACTCTTGTCACCCAGGCTGGAGTGCAATGGAGCGATCTTGGCTCACTGCAACCTCCACCTCCTGGCTTCAAGTGATTCTCCTGTCTTAGCCTCCCGAGTAGCTGGGATTGCAGACATGTAGAACCATGCGTGGCTGATTTTGTATTTTTAGTAGAGATGGGGTTTCACCATATTGGCCAGGCTGGTCTTGAACTCCTGACCTCAGGTGATCTGCCTGCCTCGGCCTCCCAAAGTGCTGGGAATTACAGGTGTGAGCCACTGCACCTGGCCTTAGCTGCATAATCTTAGATAAGTTTATTTTTCCAAATCTGTTGCTTCATATGTTAAAGCTGGGGTATGTGCTTATAAAAACTGTCTACCTCTCCTATAAAGAGTTTTGTGACCTATAAAGTTGTGTAAGGAGTAAATTTGAGATTTTCTTTTTTTCTTTCATTCTTTTTTTGGGGGATATGGCACTGTCAGTTTCAGATTTTCAATCCTTTTAGTTTCTTACTTAGACCTACTGGAGCTCCTCCTGACCTTCATTTTCACCTGGTGTGAAGCCTAGCTCCAAGACAGATGAGTACACAGTATATCAGAGCAGAGCATCCATTTACTCCATTATGAAGGTCTTGTCTGTCTGTATGCCGTCAGTTTTGTCAAAGAGCACTTGGGTTTGACTTCTCTTTTGATATTCCTGTGTTTCTGTGGCTTAGACTACTATGTATTAAGTAATGCTTTTTGAATTGTGGATTTTCTAATTTCCTTATCGATGGTCCACAGACGTTTCAGACTTGAAATGTCCAAAACTTAATTCAGTATATCTTCAAATCAACCTCCTCTTCACACCGTATTTCTGTTTCTCAGTACCATCATCATCCCTTCTAGTTCCCCATCTAGAGACCCTAATCATTTTAAATTCTTTCCTCTTATTGTCTTTCTCATTGTTAGTCACCAAATCTTGGTTTTACCTGTGAGATCCTGGGCAATCAGTTAAGTTGTTTTAGTTAGGCTTTTATTGCAAAGCAGTCATTTGTATTTTCTCAAGGATAGTTTTTAGGAAAAGCATGAATTAGCGCAGAGCCTACCCAGATATAGAGAACTAGATGGCTGTGGTGCTGGAACTGGCTATGCTCTTTGACTGTCTCTTGGTTTTGTGTTCAACTCTTCCTCATGATTTTCATCTTTCTGTATCCTTTCAGCTTTTGCCCCAGATAGTAACCCGTTCATTATCTCAGTACTGCACATCTGAAATTCCAGAAAGAAAATATGATTCAGCTAAAAAGCATCTCTGCTTGGCAGAAACTTTAATGTTAGGTTCTGGCCAGCCAGTTGATTACTGGCTGCCCCTATGTCCAGTATGTGCTCCTGGCCCAGCAGTCATGTGATTCAAAATGTGACCACTTGGCTGGGCGCGGTGGCTCATGCCTGTAATCCCAGCACTTTGGGAGGCTGAGGCGGGCAGATCATGAGGTCAGGAGATCAAGACCGTCCTGGCCAACATGATGAAACCCCATCTCTACTAAAACACAAAAAATTAGGCAGGCGTGGTGGCACGTGGCTGTAGTCCCAGCTACTCGGGAGGCTGAGGCAGGGGAATTGCTTGAACCCGGGAGGTGGAGGTTGCAGTGAACCAAGATTGCACCACTGCACTCCAGCCTGGTGACAGAGCAAGACTCTGTCTAAAAAAAAAAAAAAAAAAGTGACCACTTGGTGCTGTTTCTTCATCAGGGGCTGTTCTTAGGTATGTGTTTTAATTTTTTTTGTTTTGTTTTTGAGACAGGGTCTCACTCTGTTTTCTAGGCTGGAGTGCAGTGGCACTACCATGGCTCACTGCAGCCTCTAGCTCCCAGGCTCAAACAATCTTCCTGCCTCATACTCCCAAGTAGCTGGGACAACAGGTGTGTGCCACCACAGCTGGCTAATTTATTATTATTATTTTTTTTGTAGAGATGAGGTTTTGCTATGTTGCGCAGGCTGGGCTTGAACTCCTGGGCTCAAGCAATCCTCCTGCCTTGGCCTCCTAAAGTGCTGGAATTACAGATGTGAGCCACCACACCTGGCCTAATTTTTTTTTTTAGTTGGAGCTTAATGGTCTAATATTACTATTACGTACCTTGGCAATGTCTTTCGAAACCATTTTCCCCCACTGCTTTGCTGGAACTCTGTGTCTTACTTATACTAATGTAGCATTATTCTCCTCCTCCTTCATCACCAGTTGACTACTTCTAGGTAATCTTAACATTTCTTCTGGAGCCAGTTTCCAGTAGAAAGCTTGTCTGTCCCATTGACTCCCTGTATAAAGTCCAAGTTCTGTAGTCAAACATGCAAGGTAATTTTGGCCTAATGTACTTTTCTAATCTTTTCCTTCTATTCCATCCAATATACTTATGCTCTTGCCCTGTGGTAAGGTAGCATAATACAAGGACATTGTTGCAACATTGTTTATATAGTGGCAACAAAAAGGAAAACAATAGAGTTGTGTTTCAAAAGGGGAATTGTTGAATAAATGATGATACATTTACATTAGGGAATAAGGCAATGTGTTAATTTTGCTTGTTACAAGTGACAGAAATGCAATTCAAATTTATGTGTGCCAAAAAGGAATTTATTGACTCATGTACCTAAGAAAATCAAGAGATGTATTAGTTTCTTGCATGACTAGCTGCAGAGCTTTAAACAGTATCATCTGCAGAACATCTGTCTTCTCTGGCTCTTAACTCTACTTTCTTTGTGTCGGTTTTATTCCCAAGCAGCTGCTCCCTAGCTGTGGCTGGTAATGGTTTGTGTTCTCCCAGCTTAACAATCCCAGAGGAAAAACACCTCTTTCCCAGTTTTGTGGTTTCAGCAAAAGTGGTTGGTCTTACTGGCCTGGTGTGAGTCACATGCCATTCCTAAGGCAGTCACTATGGCAAGGGGGATGGAATTTCTTGGTTATCTAGGCCTGGATCATGTGCCCCTTCCTGGAATGCAGTGGTAAAGCCAGCCCTATCCAAATTGCATGAACTAAAAGGAGGGCATGGGGGCAGGGTTTTCACAAAGGAAAATTGAATTGCTGTTACTAGAATGAGGCAAAATGGATACTGGGCAGGCAGAAGTAGCAGAAGTCCTCTACATCCAGCTTTAAAAAGGCCCAGAAAGATGACTCTGACACTTACCTTACAAGGTACACGACAGTGTGTGTGTGCACCTGCACATGTGTATGTGTAGACTGAGAAATGTATGAAAGTATACATATTAACTGTTCACATTGCTTATCTCAGAAGTGTGATTGGAGGAGATAGAGGACCAATTTAATATTTCTGTTATCTATCTCTATGTTGTTTGGCTTGCCAGGAGCATATATTGTTTTTGTAAGAATAATTAAAAATATAAAACCCCAAAGTGGCCGGGCAAGGTGGCTCACACCTGTAATCCCAGCACTTTGGGAGGCCAAGGCGGGGAAATCACTTGGGCTCAGGAGTTTGAGATCAGCTTGGGCAGCATGGTGAAACCCTGTCACCACAGAAGAATACAAAAATCAGCCGTACATTGTGGCATACACCTGTAGCCCCAGCTACTCAGGAGGCTGAGGTGGGAGGATCACTTGATCCTGGGAGGTCAAGACTGCATTGAGCCGAGATCACACCACTGTACTCCAGCCTGGGCAACAGAGTGAGGCCTTCTCTGAAAGAATACATTAAAACAAAACAAAACAAAAACCCCAAGTTACAAAGAAGAGTTTTCCTCTTAGGAATATTGTGATACCTGGCAATTGCTTTTTGGGTGGTAGTAGTAAATAATGATAATAGCTAACATTTCCTAAGTGCTTTCTCTGCATCAGGAAACTGTGCATATTACATAATTTCTCATTTAATCTACATAATAACCTTCTGAGATATTATTAACAATTAATTGACGTACGTATAAACTGAAACCCAAACATGGCTATCAGAATGATCTGGAACATTAAAACAAACATATCCCCAGCCCCCATTTCCAAACCAAAATCTCAGGGGCAGGGCCTTATTTATATATTTAACAGGCACTCCAAGTGTTTCATTTATTACTAAAGTTTGGGAATCTCACTGGGTCATGTACTTAATTCATGGTAGCACAACTAGTAAGAATCAGAATTCGGTTTCAAACCTAAGCCAAAGCTCTTAACAAATGCACTATTAATTACATGCTTATTACTATTATAATTGTATGCTTGGGTAAATCTTTGTAGATGAGCATGAAAACCTAACCAACAGTTATGAGATATATTACTCTGGGGAAAATAAGTTCTCGATTCCAGGCATCTGATTTACAAATGGTTTTTTGAAACATAAGACAAGAGTGTACTCAATATAAGATAATCTTGTCATTGGCGCAATATCATTATACATTACAAAGGTTAGCAGAATTGGCACCTTTTCTTAGCGAAATGACATATTACTATTAACACATTTCGTGAAATATGTTAATACAGATGAATGTGTTATTTTGTAGAGCGCTTTAGTTTATCAGATTAGCATTTTTTGTCTGTTTAATAAAAAATAAAATATAGACCGGGCATGGTGGCTCACACCTGTAATCTCAGCACTTTGGGAAGCCAAGGCGGGTAGATCCCCTGAAGTCAGGAGTTTGAGACCAGCGTGGCCAACATGGTGAAACCCCTCTACTAAAAATACAAAAAATTAATCGAGCGTGGTGGTGGGCATCTGTAATCCCAGCTACTCTGGGGGCTGAGGCAGGAGAATTGCTTGAACCCAGGAGGTGGAGGTTGCAGTGAGCTGAGGTCATGCCATTGCACTCCAGCCTGGGCAACAGGAGTGAAACTCTGTCTCAAAAAAATAAAAATAAAATACAAAAACAACTTCCCCCATACCACTCCTTATCCCACACCCCCATCCTCTATCCCCTATCCCCTATCCTTCATCTCTCTGTCACTGTTGCTCACTCGCTCTCTCACTCTCATGTGTGTGCTCTCTCTCACATACACCACACACACACACACACCCCACCTACATAATTTCTTCTCTTACACCTTTAATATAAATATCTGAGTTTTGGTTCAGTTTTGCAAACATTTAAAAGGCAAACATGGTATTTTGCTTGTTTCAGCATTTAATAAGGTAGTGCATACTTCTTTCATATGGAAGGAAAACATCATATTAAGTTAATATTTAAACGTACACAATTATAATTTGCAAAAAAAAATCAAGATGATAATTTCTTAAATAGTAAATTGAAATAAATGATATTTTCCTAGCATGCTTGTCATTCAGCAATAATAAGAAACTGAGATAAGAATGCAGGCAGTTGAAGTTCACTTCAGCCTGAGTGCAAGTATACACAAAACAGCAAAAATATTACATAGAAAATAAATGTTGTCCATTGGATTGAGTATGGTGCTACCATTTGTCACAGTGTTCATATTCATAGTTGTGGCTATCTTTGGGGTCACTGCTGTATTCAGACTTGTCTTGGAATTTGGAGTCATCTAGGGATTTGAGGTCATTTTGAGATTTGGGCTTGTCCCAGGATTGGTGCTACCATTTGTCACAGTATTCATATTCATAGTTGTGGCTCTTTGGGGTCACTGCTCTATTCAGACTTGTCTTGGAATTTGGAGTCATCTTGGGACTCGAGGTCATTTTGAGATCTGGGCTTATCCCAGGATTGGGGTTCATTCTGGGATTGGTGCTCTTCCTGGGATTAGGTCTGGTCCCGGGATTCAGGCTTGACGCAGGATTGGATACTGCCATAGAATTTGAGGTTGTTGATGTTGAAGTTTGTCCCCGGAATGTTAACAAACATGAAGAGCAGGCCAATCGGTGATAGCTTGAACATCATCCTCCTCTGTTTCACAATAATTATATAATTTTAATTGAACACTTGGATCACAAATAGGCAAGCATATATCCTTAATTGTGTTTATCAGTACATTTGTGTTATGTAAATGTTTGCTTTTTCACTATTAGTGAACAAATTAAAAGCTTCCCTTTCTTTGTTGTCAACATCTGCTGACAGAAGACCTATTTTCTATTGAGGGCTACCAACTGAAGGCAAAAACAATCCCAAGACTGAAAAAGAGCTTAATTGGCATTTTTCTATTTAAAAAAGGAAAAAAATAAAACTCTAGACATTCAATGCAATAAATATGGGGGCTTGAGATCAGTATAGAGTAGGGTAGGGGCAAAGACTGAGAGGCAATTTGGGACAGTAGAGCAACAAAAGAAATAATGAAATAAATATTGGTATTTTCTTGATTTCTCATGACCTTTATTCCAACAATTTAAGGTTTTAGTTTAGGTCACAAATTAGGATATTACTTCTAAATATTTACCCAAAGACTAAAGAGGTTAAACCAAAGCATTTCCCCAGTGCTGGGATGAGGTTTTCTTCATTAACAACAACAACAACAACAATAACAAACTAGAGAAGTTCATAGTTTTAAGATTTAGAAATGAACAAAACCAACTCCTTCATTTTGCAAATGGGCTCAGACAAGGGGCATAACTTACCTGAGGGTGCATATCTAAAAATGACCCAAGCTAGAACTTAAGTCTGTGACTTAAAGCCCAAATTTTAACTGTAGAACTCTAACATATATATTAAAAGTTACATTTGGCTCTAATACGTAATTGAGAACATTTCAAATTAATGTTACCTTTTGATATTTTTCTTTGAAGAGTAAGAATTCAGTCTTTCTCCAGCGTCTATGGGGAATCTGATTTCTCACTCACTGCATGCTATTTAAATATAATTAGTGAGGAAGTCATGTGTTCTAAACTTGACCTGCCATTTGCTCTTTGGAAGTATCCAACTGAGTGTTTCCAGACAACTACATATAAACAGATAGACTTTGGCAGAGATTAAAGAATTCAAATAAAGTTCTAAAATCTGCTTGCTAATTTAAAGAATCCAGTGAATAGCATTTGTTATTCCTCTTACCATGTATACATTAATGAATTGCTTCACTGGATTGACTCTAACTAGATGAATTTACTATTTTGCCTGCTGTGATTATTATGATTTTAAACCAAGTAAGTGTATTAAAGGTGTCTGCGTTTTCCTTAGAACATCTGTACATATGTTTATAGGGCAGTTTCTACCCATGGTTATTTTGAAGTTTAAAAAATAATTCAGTAATACAACATTTCAGGTATTTAATTTTTGGTAAATAAAGTAACCTTAGAAAAGAAGTTAAACTTCATTAATATGAAACTTAAGAAAAGGATTACATATGAAAGTGATACTTTTTCATACTGAGTTTACAAACTTTTGTGTGTTTGTGTATGGTTTTTTAATGTATTAAACCAGTCACCTTGAAGTGCATAAAGTAAATTTTTTGAAGGAATTTTGTCTTTTGGTCAGCCGTTTTCCATGATAACTAGCATATAGGGAAATTGGGTTGTATTCTGCTAATGTTTTCATCATATTGGCCAGCACACTTTAAAAATTGCAGGACTGTGAACAATGGTGTTGACATACAAGGAAATTGCAACATAAATGGCAGAAGTACAAGCCAGTACATGTTCCTCACTTGTTTTACTGTGCTGTGAAGATCATTTTTCCCCTGAATGAATAAACCATGAATAGAACCATGCTTGGTAAATCTTATTTATATGGTACATATAATAACTTCACTTAACTGGAGGTTAATGTGGTCAGATCTAAGAAGTAAACAAACAAAAAAAAACTACTTGGCAACCAGAGTAGATATTATGAATCGGAGTACTGCAGTAATTTACAGGAGTTTGTCATTGTCCTCTCTCTGCTCACTTGCTCATTCTGTGGATTTCTTTGGGGGGTATATAGTTGGTAATAGTAATAGTAATAGTAATAGTAATGTTTCGAACTTGAGCAAACTGTGACTTATTCTATTTTTCTAATCTTGACCTTTTGAGTACTACACTTACACAACTCTTTATTGATGCTTCAAACACCTCAGTCTCAACTTGTTTAAAATTCAGAAGTTAGTGTTTTCTCCTTCCTATTTTTGTATCTAGATATATTCTTCTCATAATCTCTTGGTTAATTGTATCATCACCTAGCCAAATGTTTCTCCAACACTGGATTTCTCATTATCTTCTCTTTCTTATTTATCTTAAGCTCTCCAGGCCTCTTCATGATGATTAAGTAAAATTTAAATTCTATTTAGTACTCAAATGTTCCCAAACAAACAATAGTCAATTTGCCATTATTCAGGTCTTCAAATACCCACCAACTTTGTATCTTTGTGCAGCCTCCCCAACTTGCCCAAAGTGTAATAATAGCCCCCTCTTATCCTAAGTTTCACTTTCCATAGTTTCAGTTACCCATGGTCCACCATGGTCTGAAAATACTCAATGGAAAATTCCAGAAATAAACATAAGTTGGATGTATCATGAGGTTAATAGTAGCCTAGCACTGTGTCACAGTGCTGCATTAGTCAACCCACTTCATCTTATCACATAGGCATTGTGTCATATCACATCATCACAAGAAGGGCGAGTATAGTACAATAAGATATTTTGAGAGAGATGCCATGTGCATGTGCTTTTATTGTAGTATATTGCTATAACTTCTATTTTATTATTGTTTTTAATCTCTTACTGTGCCTAATTTATAATTAAACTTTATCACAGGTATTTCTGTATAGGAGAAAAACACAGCATATATTGGGTTCAATACTGTGATTCTGTGGTTTCAGGTATCCCTGAGGGGTCTTGGAACATATCCCCCACAGTTAAGGGGGTACTACTGTACTTTCCTCATTCAAAATTGTGTTGTTTCTTCAAGCTCCACTCATGTCAGCACCTTTTATACGATCCTTCCCTAATTCTTCACGTCAGAATCAGTCATTTTAGTACTTTATACTTTGATCAGAGTCTCATTTTCACTAAAGAAACTAAATCTTCCACCATATTCTGGCTTTTTTTGTGGTAAGATACCACCTCTTATTCCTTCTATTCCCTCTAGCTTCTAATATAGTGAGTGTTTATAAAGAATAGGACACAGGGCCAGTTATAAAGAATAGGACACAGGCTCATGCCTGTAATCCCAGCACTTTGGGAGGCCGAGGTGGGCAGATCACGAGGTCAGGAGATGGAGACCATCCTGGCTAACACGGTGAAACCCCATCTCTACTAAAAATACAAAAAATTAGCCAGGCTTGGTGGTATGCGCCTGTAGTCCCAGCTACTTGGGAGGCTGAGGCAGGAGCATCGCTTGAATCCAGGAGGTGGAGGTTGCAGTGAGCTGAGATCGCATCACTGCACTCCAGCCTGGGGGACAGAGCAAGACTCCATCTCAAAAAAAAAAAAAAAAAAAAAGGGGCACAATAAGTATTGGAATTCATTGAAATACCTCCTGTTTCTCCATGTCGGAGGGCTGGTATCATTAATGATGTCTAAAGTAAGAGTTATTTGGTTATTTGCAGTTTTCCCTTCACATTAGCATAAATTTGGAAGGCACAGGCTTGAGTTTAACTTTCATCTCTACTTTCCTGGCTGCTGTTTTGAGAAGATTTCTTCATTTGTACAATGTGGATCATAATGCACATTCATAATCCCTTGTCTGTAATCTGAAACCCCAAATCCTCCAAAAACCTTAAGTTTTATCAAAAAATAAAAAAGTTTGACACCAAAATTTATTTGGTGCAAATGCCTTATCTGCATAGATGGGAGGTTTTTAGCTATCTTTGTTTCACTTAATGTGGATATTAATGTTGCGCTGCAGAAATATTGATGAGATTGATTTTGGGGTGCTGTTCCATTTTCTACTGGAGTGTTACATAATACATGATAAGAATAGTACTTAGCATATTCATGTTTCTCTTCTTCCTTCTGGGCACAGCACCATACCACTCTTAGCATTCTGATAGTTAGGTGGTACCATCTGACTGAGTTCTGGCCAGTAAAATGTCAGTTCCAATGATGTACAATCGACCCTTGAACAACACTGGGGTTAGGGGCACTGAATCTCCACGCAATGGAAAATCTACGTATAACTTTTGCCTCCCCAAAAACTAAACTACTAATAGACTGTTGATCGGAAGCCTTTTGATAACATAAACAGATTAACATGTTTTGTAAGTTAAATGTTGTATATGCTATATTCTTAGAGTGAAATAAGCTCCAGAAAAGAAATTGTTACCCAGAAAATCATGAGGAAGAGAAAATATATTTACTGTTCTCTGAGTGGAAGTGGATTATCACGAAGGTCTTCATCCTCTTTATCTTCATGTTGAGTAGGTGGAGGAGAAAGAAGAGGGATTGGTCTTACTGTCCCCGGGCTGGCAGAGGTGGAAGTAAACCTCTGTATAAGTGGATCAGCATGGTTCAAAGCCATGTTGTTTAAGGGTCAACTGTATATGATTTTTAAGCCTGATGTCTAACTTCTCACCAATCTTCCATTCTTGCTTTCTTCTATCAACGCCTACTAGAAACAGACGGTTCAGTGGAGGGGGTCTCCAAGACGCCAGAAGATGGTAAAACCATTAGAAAGCATGATTTAAGAGAAATTAACTTTTGTTGTCTTAGCCAGTGATATTTTGGGATTATTTGTGACAGAAATTAGTTCGTGCTGACTAACATAACTACATGCTGGACATCTTGCCTTTGCCTCTTCAAATCCACTCTGTTCTTTACCCTGCTGTGTACCCTAAGAGGCTGACCTGTGTAGAGGGTATCATTGGGCTCCCCTCCTTTCTGGCTTTCAGCTGGCCCATAGGGAATACAAGCGGAAGATTAGGGAGAAGAAAGAGAGTAAGGTTAGGAGGTATATATTTTTGGCTCCGTTTCTGCAGGGTCCCAGTGGGCTGGCTACATCCATCCATGCAGTATGGTTTTTGTTGGGTGACCCTCTCCACACAACCTACTCTGTGTCTGCTTTCTGCTAACTGCTTCCTGCACTCACTACTTCAGGTGTAGTATCACACTGTTTCTTAAGAGTTTCCTTAAAACCTGCCTTCTCCTTTATACATAATCTCTAATATCTCAGTTTGAATTTGCCACCTGTTTCCTGCTAGAACCTTAATTGCTACAAGCTGTATGTACACTGTATCATCTTCCTAAAATCACCAGGCATGGTGGGATGTGAGCTATAGTCCCAGCAACTCAGGAGGCTGATGTAGGAGGATTGCTTGAGCCCAGAAATTCAAGGCTACAGTGAGCTATGGATACCCTAACCTGAGCAACAGAGCAAGACCTTGTCTCTAAAAAACAAAAATTAAGTTAAAAAATTGTGTCTTTCTTTATATACTTACATTACTTTCCGTTGATCTGTTTTTGAAATGTTTCCAGAACTGTCTTCCCTCACGTATTGATTCTTCCAAAATTCTTAAGAAAATGGAAAAAAGTAATTTCTGAAAATGATGAGAATGATCATAAATTTCATATAGCACTTTCTTGAGAATTTCAAATTGCAGTTTTAATATTTTACTTTAGAAACAGGTCCAGTTTTCCCTTCTGTAATTTTTTTCTTTGGTCTTTTTGGATTTTTTGGGTTTTTGTTTTTTTTTTTTCTTGAAAAGAACACAGAGATCTTTTCTTGAGTGATATTTGCACAGACATTGCCTTGGTAATTGAAGCTTTTTTTTTTTTTTTTTTTTTTTTTTTTTTAGAAAATCCTATTAAGTTTTATGCCATGTCTATGCTCATTGCACCTGTGCCTCATGTCTCATTCATTCATTCGTTTATTTTATTATTATTTTTTTTTTTTGAGACAGAGTTTCGCTCTTGTTGCCTAGGCTGGAGTGCAGTGGCACGATCTCAGCTCACTGCAACCTACACCTCCCAGATTCAAGTGATTCTCCTGCCTCAGCCTCCTGAGTAGCTGGGATTACAGGTGCCTGCCACCACGCCTGGCTAATTTTCGTATTTTTAGTAGAGATGGGGTTTCACCACATTGGCCAGGCTGGTCTGGAACTCCTGACCTCAGGTGATCTGCCCACCTCAGCCTCCCAAAGTGCTGGAATTACAGGCGTGAGCCGCCGCGCCTGGCCTTCATGTCTCTTTTAAATAGGACTTCTAAAATTTTGAAATGAGGTCAGCTTCAGTGGCTCATGCCTATAATCCCAGTGCTTTGGAAGGCCAAGGCAAGAGGATCACTTGAAGCCAGGGGTTTGAGACCAGCCTGGGCAACATCATGAGACCCTGTCTCTACAAAGTACATTTAAAAAAAAATTAGCCAGGTGTGGTGGCACACACCTGTATAGTCTTAGCCACTTGGGAAGCTGAGGCAAGTAGATCGCCTGACCCCAGGAGTTCAAGGTTGCAGTGAGCTATGTTCCCACCACCGCACTTCAGCCAGTTAAGGGGACAGAGCGAGACCCTGTCTCAAAAAAATTTTGTTTTGAAATGAATTTATGTATGTTTGGTTATTTCTGAAAGCAGTTCAGGCCTACAGCCATACCACCCTGAATGCACCTGATGTTGTCTGAAAGCAATTCAGGTTTTCAGGATTAAAATTTTTATGCTACTAGGTTTGTAACCTATATTTAAAAGTAGAACATTTAAAACATTTTAGTAGTATATAGCACTGAAAAGTGGCTTTTTAGCGTAGACAGTTGTTTTTCAAGAAACTATTTTGTAATCCTAGCTACTTGGGAGCCTGAGGTGGGAGGATCGCTTGAGCTCAGAATCCAGTCTGGGCAACAAAGGAGAATTCCAGCCTCTTTAAAAAAAAAAAAAAAAGGAAGAAACTATTTGGGAGTTTTGTGAACAATGGATATGCAAAAAGACAGGCCATTGTTATGAGAGGCCTAATTGTGAGTACCTTCTAGAATTGTATATAAGCATGATTCTCTTCAATAGTAAAATCTCAGCCTCTTCATTTTAGAAATCTAATATAGGAAAAAGAACACATTTCTCCATAGTTGTAAAACATAGGTTCTCAGGGTGAATGCCCATCTTTGAGCAAGTTTGTCTTCCTAATGGTATAATACTGTAAGTCTGTTATCT